>NC_000003.12:168251028-168402543 GCF_000001405.40 Homo sapiens
ACTTTATTATAGAAAAATGGCTTAGATAAGTACACAAAGCCATCCATAGATCTCTGAGGCTTTACTTTTTCCTGTAAGAAAAATTCGATTTCAGGGTTCAAATTACATTTCCATATTTCATTTCTTTCATGTGAGATTCAATCTTGACACATGGCCAGGGTGTCAGTGGCATCTCAGAACTTCTTGCCTACATAGTTTGTAGATATGTATTTGGCAAAAATGCCACGTTTCTGGGTATGTGATTTCTCTTGAATTGATGTGTCTTGTTTATTTTGAAGAGAAGGTTGATTTAGACTTTTCTTCTTCAGTTTATCTCAGAAAACACATCCGACTTTGGATAGCTTGTGCATGCGTAAGCCTGCACTTCTTAGAAACTGTCTTTTAGAAAGCTTGCAGAGTAGCCATGCTCTTACCTTTACAAGTGCCTTTATTTAAGTGGATCCTAGGTTGGCTAATTAGCCACGAAATCACCCATGCACACTGAGACAGAACAGTCCCTTTGGAGAGGAACTGAGAAATAACAGAAATACCTACATCACTTTTGACCTTGTTTGGCTGTTTTACCTCAGGTTTCAATATTGACTCTTTTGTTGAAAAGGCTGGAGGGATGACACTGCATTTTTTTTTCTTTTAAGGATACTGCTACTGCAGCTCATTTATTTATCAAGTGAGATGAGATCAGATATTAAAAAATATATGAATTCTTAAGTGTTTAATACAGATGCTTTTTCCAGGATGTCATTGAGGATGTTTTCCAGGATGTACTTTCTGAAATCTTGATGGGAAAAATCCAAATTTTGTAGTTCTCCTTGGTATTAGACATAATGGTGGTTTCTTCAGCAGGAATCGTGTTGGGATTTAGTGCTAGGTTTCTTCAGATGCCTTTGCAATTGTTGTAGGCATGTGAAATGTAGCCACATATAGATAGCACTTGGCTTCCGCATACCTGCCTATCTATTAAATTAAAGAGAATTCTTCCTGAGATTTGTATTGACCTCTGATGTCCATTATCAGTGAGAGCAGGCTTCTAATGAGGTGAAGACCACTAATGAGAATGCATCATCTTACTGACTGGCACTTATAGGTCATTAACACAGGTAAAAGTTTGATGTAGCTAAACTTGTACTTGAGAAAATTTTGGAGCTGGGGTGACAAGTGAAAATAAGAAACAACTGTGCAGCTAACCAGCAGTCATTGTGTTTATGGTGTATTCCTCTGAAGGTAAGCTCATTTCCAAAGAAATTTTTTTTAAGAAAGCAAAAGATGAAATATGAATATTCCAACTCTAATGATAATTGATCTGTCTGATGACCTTGTCTTACCACATTTAGGAAATCTTGAATAACTAATATTAGGCAGATTCATAAAATCAGCATTTGGAAGAGTGCCTAAGTACCTATTACGTACAGAGGCATTAGAAATCACAGGCAACAATTAATCCGTTTGAATTCTTACATGCCAGGCAAATTTCTAGCTACTTTACATGTATTATTTCATTTAATCCTGGAAATGCCCTATGAGGTAGGCACATTATCATACCATTTTATGACAAAGAAAGAGACACAGTAAGGTTAAGTTACATTCCAGAAATTCAGAAGATCTGGGCCTAGGCAGTTGGATTCCAGAGCTGAAGTTCTTAACACATGCAGTCCATTTAAGAACGCTCAGGCCCAGCCTCTGTTTTTAAGAAGTTCTTTTTAATCACTTCAATGCGTTTTCAGTGGGAGTAGAGCTGGTACCTTCTACCTAGTGGTTGAGATACCTGTGCCACCTTTTTTGATTGTTGCCATAGTTATATGGTTCTGTTGGCATTCTGTGGTGGGTATGGAGAGAGGTTGGCATGCTAATTGTGCTGCTATGGGTAGGATAGTTCCTCACAAGGAAGATCTGATTTATCTCCTCCTTATTGAGACTCTTCATAGGAAATTATCCTCCTCTCTCATGGCTGTAAGTACTTGAGTATTAAAATGAGGGGGTAGGTTTAAACTGGATATTATACAGTGGGAGTAGTTATCTGAGGCAAGTGCATTAAAAATTAGAGAGTTGTAACTGGTAACGGCATTTTGATAAAGGGATATTGAAGAGTTTACTTATGTTAATGGTATTCTGCAAATGTTTTCTGAAGGATTAAATAGGAGGAAATAAACTCTACTCTGGATCTTTGAGACATCAAAGGAAAATGATTGGCTGTAATGCACTCTATTAAAATTTATCTTTTGTAATGTACTCTTGTAAACACTTGCATAATTATTTTATGCATCCTAATGAAAAGTAGTAAACATGGGAGTGTTGCAGATATCATAGCAGGCATAAATGAATAAAGGAAGATGAAGTAGCTTAAGCTCCTGGGACATGTGATACTTGGATTTCTCTGATATCTGGTGGGAATTTTTAAACAACATGGCCACTTTGTGACTCAGCAGTAGTCTAAACTGTGTAGGACATTTCACTTCCATCCCCTAAGATAGTACAGGCAGTTTTGACATACAGATCCCAAGTATGGCTGATATGAAACTGTCTACCCCTCTCCCATGACACACATACATAGAACTATGTTTCACCTCTTAGTTACAGGCTTAATACAGGCTTCTGTAGTTAATGTGGAAACTTAGGGTCAGTCAGAGAGAGAGTGACAGTGACTTAGATTTTATGAAGAACCAATGGATTTGGAAATAGAGCCAGTCAATAATCTATGATAATAATTTGGAATAGTGAAGGAGAGATGACAGAGTTGTCTGTTGTCCCCCACACATGCTGGAATTTGTTTCTTTTTATTATTATTATTTAAACTTTTGATATTATACAGCCTGAAATTGAGCTGTCTTAGTTCGTTCGGGCTGGTGTAACAAAATACCATAAACTAGGTGGGTTTTAAACAACAAACATTTATTTCTTATGGTTCTGGTGATTGAGAAATCCAAGATTTCTCAGAATCTTGGATTTTCATAGATCTGATGTCTTGTAGAACCTGTTTACTGGTTCACAGATATAGGTTTGTCCTCAGGTGGTGCAAGGGGTAAAGGAGCTCCCTTGGGCATACATTAATTTCAGTCATGAGGGCTCTACCCTCGTGATGTAATCACTTCTCAAAGGCCACATTTCCTACTACCATCACATTGGGAGTTAGGGTTTCAGCACAGGAATTTCAGGAGGAAACAAACATTCAGACCATATCATGAGTGAACTAGAGATATGTGGGGCTAATAATAATCCCTTATTTATTTACTTACTTACTTAGTTGCTTTTGAAACAGAGTCTCACTCTGTCAGCCAGGCTGGAGTACAGTGGTGTGATCTGGGCTCACAGCAACCTCTGCCTCCTGGGTTCAAGCGATTCTCATGCCTCAGCCTCTTGAGTAGCTGAGACTACAGGCACATGCCAACCACATTCAGCTATTTTTTGTATTTTTAGTAGAGACAGGGTTTACATGTTGGTCAGGCTGGTCTTGAATTCCTGACCTCAAGTGATCCGCCCACCTCAGCCTCCCAAAGTGCTGGGATTACAGGCATGAGCCACCACACCAGGCCAATAATCCCCTTAAACTTAGAAATAATTTAAACATAGTCTGGGTTTACTCATTAATTTAAATTAATTGGAAAAGAGTTTTTTTCTTTTGAGGTCAGGCACATTAAATGAGCAGAAAATGAATTTGAGAAGAGAAGGCTGTGTGCATTCTCTATGGGTAAAACATTTTTTAGCAGTTTGTATATTAATATCTTCAATCCTAACAACAATCATATGAGGTAGATAACACCATCATCTTTTTCAGATGAGGTCACTGAGGCACAGAGAGGTGTATTAGTCCATTTTCACACTACTGTAGAGAACTACCTGAGACTGGGTAATGTATAAAGGAAAGAGGTTTAATTGACTCAAAGTTCTGCATGGCTGGGGTGACCTCAGGAAACTTACAATCATGGCAGAAGGTGAAGGGGAAGAAAGGCATGTCTTACATGGTGTCAGGAGAGAGAGAGAGAGAGAACAAGGCGGGAACTGCCAAACACTTAAATTATCAGATCTCATGAGAACTCACTCACTATCATGAGAACAGCATGGAGGAAACTGCTCCCATGATCTAATCACGTCCCACCAGGTCCATCCCTCAACACATGGGGATGACAATTTGAGATGAGATTTGGGTGGGGACATAAAGCCAAACTGTATAATTCTGCCCCTGTTCCCTCACAAATCTCATGTCCTTCTTACATTTCAAAACATAATCTTGCTTTCCCAACAGTCCCTCAAAATCTAAACTCACTCCAACATTAATTCAGAAGTCCAAGTTTAAAGTCTCACCTGACACAAGGCAGTTCCTTCCACATATGAGCCTGTAAAGTCAAAGGCAAGTTAGTTACTTCCAAGATACAGTGGGGGTGTAGGCATTGGGTAAATGTTCCCATTTCAAATGGGAGAAGTTGGCCAAAACAAAGGATTACAGGCCTCATGCATATCCAAAACCCAAAAAAGCAGTTGTTAAATTTTAAAGCTCCAAAATCATCTCCTTTAACTCCATGTCTCATATCCAGAGCATGCTGACACAAGAGATGGGCTCCCAAGGCCTTGGGCAGCTCTGCCTCTGTGGCTCTGCAGGGTGCAGCCCCTGTGGCTGCTTTCATGGGCTGGTGTGAGTGCCTGCAGTCTTTCCAGGTGCATGGTGCATGCTGTTGGTGATGCACCATTCTAGGGTCTGGAGGACAGTGGCCCTCTTCTCAAAGCTCCACTAAGCAGTGCCCCAGTAGGGACTCTGTGTGGGGGCACCAACCCCACATTTTCCCTCTTGACTCCCCTAATGGAGGTTCTCCATGAGGGCTGTGCCCCTGTAGCAGACTTCTGCCTGGACATCCAAGTGTTTCCATACATCCTCTGAAATCCAGGCAGAGGTTCCCAAACATCAACTCTTCTGTGCACCCTCAGGCCCAACACCATGTGGAAGCTTCCAAGGCTTGGGGCTTGCATTCTCTAAAACCATGGCACAAGCTGTACCTTGGTCCCTTTTACCCATGGCTGGAGCAGGAGTGGCTGGGACTCAGAGCTCTGTGTCTCAAGGATGCACAGAGCAGCAGGGCCCTGGTCCTGGCCCAGGAAACCATTCTTCCCTCCTTGACCTCTGGGCCTGTGATAGGAGGGGCTGCCATAAACATCTCTGCAATGCCCTGGAGACATTTTCTGCTTCACTTTACTTATGCAAATTTCTGCAGCCACAGCTTGAATTTCTCCCTAGAAAATGGGTTTCTCTGTTCTACTTGTGGTTGGTCTGCAGATTTTCCAAATTTATATGCTGTGGTTCCCTTTTAAACATAAGTTCTGATTTCAGATCATCTCTTTGTGAATGCATATGACTGTAAGCTTTTAGAAAAAGCCAGGTTATATCTTGAACACTTTGCTGCTTAGAAATTTCTTCTGCCAGATACCTTAAATCATCTCTCTCAAGTTCAAAGTTCCACAGATATCTAGGGCAAGGGCAAAATGCCCCAGAGATTTGAGCATTTTTGCTAAAGCATAGCAAGCTAAAGCATAGCAAGAGTGACCTGTGCTCCAGTTCCCAATAAGTTCCTCATCTCCATCTGAGACCACCTCAGCCTGGACTTCATTGTCCATATCACTATCAGCATTTTGGATAAGACCATTCAACAAGTCTCTAGGAAGTTTCAAACTTTCCCAGATTTTCCTGTCTTCTTCTGAGCCCTCCAAACTATTCTAAGCTCTGCCTGTTACTCAGTTCCAAAGTTGCTTCCGCATTTTCAGGCTATTTTTATAGCAGTACCCCACTATCCTGGTACCAGTTTTCTGTATTCGTCTGTTTTCACATTGCTGTAAAGAATGACCTGAGACTGGGTGATTTATAAAGGAGAGAGGTTTAATTGACTCACAGTTCTGTATGGCTGGGGAGACCTCAGGAAACTTACAATCATGGCAGAAAGTGAAGGGGAACCAAGGCACATCTTACATGGTGGCAGGAGAGAGAGAGCAAGTAGAAAACTGTCAAACACTTTAAAACCATCAGATCTCATGAGAACTCTCACTGTCATGAGAACAGCATGGAGGAACAACCCTCATGATCTAGTCACCTCCCACCAAGTCCCTCTCTCGACACATGTGGATTACAATTTGAGATGAGATTTGGGTGGAGACACACAGCCAAACCATATCAAGAGGTTAGGCAACTATCATGAAGTTTCATAGCTGAGAAGTGGTAGAATGGGGTATAGACCCATCCTGTCTAGCTCCAGAGCTCTGTTCATAATCACCATACTCCGTGCTGTTCCCTTTACCTTTGGCTTTTCCTTCATATGCTCTCAAACTATGAGACTCTGATCTTTTTACTCAGTCTGGATCTGTTTACCTAAATTCAGCAGTAGCTGCTCTTGCTCCTATTCTCCCCAAGTAGATTCAAACCTTTGCCCTTTAGTTTTAGTAGTCAATTCCAGTTCATACTTTATTGATGATATTGACATTTTATTATATGGATTTTCTCAGTGTCCCTGTCCTCAGTTTTAATATTATTTACATATGTTTACTTTTCTTCTTTCTTCTGTGTTTCATAGAAATACATTTACCACTCTTGTTTCAAGGTAATCCCTCCCTGTATGTTCCAGATCCCATTTAAAAAATATTTTCTCTGTCATTTCTTTTTTTATCATTCATTCCCATCTCTTTCCATTCTACTGTTTTTTCTCTTTTTCCAATCATATTCAAGTCTTGCATTCTACATCTGTCTCTACTGTATGTCTATAAGATGTTTTGTCTATATACAGGTCTGTGTTGACTTTGCTTCTTCTCTCCTTCACCTTCCATTGCTGAAAAACAGCTCATTAATGCTGCTTCCTTTGTTTTTTTCTAATCATCAGTCATTTAACCCATTGCACTGTGGCCTCCTCTGCTGAATGTCCTTTTCAGAGGCTACCCTCTTTTCAGAATTTGCCTAACCCTTATTTTTCTGTAGCATGTGACATTACTAATTCCTATTTTCTACTTTTTTTACATCTCGTACTTTTCCTTTGTACATGTAGTATCATCTGTAGTTCTCCTCCTCCATTGGTGCCTGCATTCTCCCCTTCTATCTTTATTTCTCTTTCCATTCTTTATACATTAACTGGTTTATCTCTTCCCACTGGCTTCCATCATATGTGCTATTTTTATGAGACCCAGATCTGTACATCCAGCCCCAGTCTCTTTGGAGCTATAGACTTGCATTTTCAACTATAGATTTATCATCTCCATGGATTTCAGACTCAAAATGTTCTTAGATCATCTCTAGTCATTATTGTCTCCTTCTATATCTTCTTCTCAGGTACTTTGTCTGTCTTCTCCTTTGTCTTATTTGAATTTTTTTTAAATCTCTGTTACTTGTCTCCCAGTTTACATTGTTGTTTTATTATGAGCTTTAGGTAAGATGGTTGTGAAAAGGCTTTTGTTTATGGCAATTCGATAAATATAAGTTAATATTTATATTCCTATCAGTTGCCAAATTCTGTCAACACCTACAACAAAATATCTGTTGAATTAGTTCCTATTCCTGATGCCAACACTTAAGCCTGTTATGCTATTTTTACTCCTAGGCTACTACAGTTATCTCTTTGTTGATCTTCTCTTTCATATCCTCTCAATCCTCTTTATTTTATTATATATACTACTTAGTTTTTATCTAGATTGGTTTTTAAAGCAAAGATCTAGTGACATCATTTCCTTTCTTAAGAACTCTGATTATCCATGAAATCAGCTCAGGGATTCATAATATTGTTCTTAAATAGCACTTATTATGTGCCAGGAATAATTTAAGTACTTTGCATATTTTAACTCATTTAATTCTTACAGCAACCCTATCAGAAGGTAATGTTTGTATCAACATTTATGATGAAGAAATTGAAGTCCAGGGAAGTTAAGGTTTTCTGGAGAAACTACATATAACAGTATGAAGCTCAGGGGAGAGGTCATGTAATTAATAAGTAATAAAGCTAGGGTATAAACCCAGGCTGTCTGACTCTAGAATCTGAGCACTTAATTACCACACTGTATTCAAGGCCTTATCTTTTTGGTATTATTTAATTTTATAAACATTTATTGAGTACATAGTTATTTTTATTTATTATTTATTTATTTTTTGCTTTTTGTTTTTTTAAATTTGCCTGTAGTCCCCTTCTGCTACTCAAGATCTGTGATGCGTCTAAGATTTTACTTTACCTTCAAGATAATGAGTTAGTCTGCCACAGTTCATAGTTGCTGCTAGAAGACATGAGATTCCTGGGCAAAGACAAATGACTTTATTAGTTCCTTAGTCTGTAGCAGGCAGCATGAGCTTCATGTTTGCATCAGTTATCTTGCCCTTGCCTCCTTGCTAAGTTCCATGAAGGCAATGAGGAGTGGCTCCAATGGATACTGTGCATACCATGAGTTTGTGTCACAGATAGGGAACCTGGAGCTTAGACAACCTTCAGTCTTCTAAGGGGACTGCTAGCAAACCTGCCAACCCTTGCCGTTAGAGGGAGAATGAACTTTATTATCTTGCTCAGGAAGCAACTCTGCCCTCAGTTCTGGCAGAAGACACTCTCTTCATCTTCCAAGATTGTTTTTTATAGAAACATCCTTCCAGAAAAAAGCTGTCAAGGCTTTTTCACAAGCAGAAATGCAAGAGACCTTGAAGAATTGTCTCCCAACATCCCTAACATGTTGCTTTCCCATTTTAGTAGCATAGGTTTTGCTATGGCTTAAATCTAGTATTTTTTCTCTTTTGTTGAATCCAGTGCTTGATTTTCCCATTCTTTTAAAATAGATAGGAACATATTAAAACTAGACGAACACAAAGGTTTAATGAGCTTACTTAAGGGGCTGTGTTCAAATTCCAAGCACTTGTCTTTTCTCCACTGATGCTGAAATCAAATTACTAACCCAGTTGCTGAATATGTAGTTGATTTCTTTTCTTTTTATTTCCATTTAGCAAAGATTTATTCATTGTCAAGTACTTTGCTAGGCATTGGGGATACAGAAGGAAGTAAGGTGATTCCTTTCTTTAAGCAACTCATAGATCAGGAGGGAGATCAGCACACAGACTAGAGCCTACCAATACAAAATTGGCAGAGATGGTACATGTAACCCAACTATAAGAAGAAAGAATACAGGACCTCAGGGTAGGTTTTCAAGTTATTGACTCTGAGTAGAGGTTGGATGAGTGGTAAAGATGGTGATGGTGGTGGTCGTTTCCAGTTGGTGAAAAGAATATGTGCAAGAAGGCAGCAAGATCTCCCCATTAGGAAAACCATAAATCATGTTCTTAACAGTATGACTGGGGAGAATAATCTGTATGAGGCTACAGTAAAAGATAAGTTTAGGGCTGTTGAGTCCAGAGAGAAGCGGTGTGAGTCTAATAACCAAAAGAAATAGTGGTGGTAATAAAACAAGGGAACAGATCTGAAAGATAAATAGCAATAGGAGTTGATGAATGCATGGAGGTAAGAGAGAAAGACAGACTTGATGGGGCCTCTGGGTAATGGAGAATATCAGAAACACAAGAGAAAGGAGCCTTATGGGAGAAGAAGATGATGAATTCAGCAGTGACTGACTATGTGGGCATTTCTGTGTCTGTGGGATCTCAGCTGGAGACGTTCTAGAGAAATCCACTAAAGGGGCCTGAGGCTCAGGAAGGTGATCTGGGCTGGAGCTATATTTGGCTGTTGAAGTGGTAGGAAACAAGTGTATATAAAAAAGTGAGGAAAAAAGATTATTGAGGAAGGAAACCTGGATATTTTAATATAAGAACAGAGGACAGATGAAAAAGGGCCTAAGGAGGAAGTTAAGAAACTGCCTGAGAGGAAGGAAAGAAAGAGTGGTATATGCTATGGAAGGCCTCAGGGAAGTTAAATAAAGTAGAAACTTGTATAGTTAAAAGTGTCACTACTAAAAAATGATTGACTTAGAGCTACATAAATAGAACATCACTGGAAGAACATCATTCTAGTTGAGAACTTCGCTGTCATAGCCATCACTTTTGGTCATGATGACAAGAAGTGGAAACTCCTGTGGAGTGCTCTTATATTGACAGGCTGTGTTTTTGCCTGGCTAAACATTTACTCTGTATCTGCCATCATTCTGAGCTCATTATTACTATGGCCAGAAATGACTGTAGAAAGAAAGTCCTGCTACTCCAGCAGAATTAATTACAGATGGGGCACAATTCAGGATCAATTCACAATCATCAAGGCATTTTTCTAGGTTCTTCTGTAGAGGTGGGTAAGATAGAGTCTCCACCCCCAGGGAGCTTATAAGCAAGTATTATGTTCTTTGTTGATAGGATAGTCAAGTACCTTAAAGGAGTTAAAACTCAAGTAGTACTTTAAGAAAGGAGAAAATAAATTTGTGAGAGGAAATCATGGGAAGCTTTCTGGAAGTGGTGGCATTTGTAGGCAAGGTAGGATTGGGGTCAGAAGTGCATTCATTGTAGGAAGAGAGCAGAGCGTGCAAGGCCTTGGAGGTTGTTGGAAGGGCAGTGTCTCCTGGGGCCAATATACACTGTGGCATCTTTTGTCACCATCATTGGCTCCATGCATTTGCAGCTCTTTCCTCTCCAAATACCTAGCGTCCCCAAATGCCCTTCACATTTTTCTGCCATGGTGCCTTTCCTCTCAGCAAACTCCCTGCCTTCTCTTCTCTTCCAGGCCAATCTCTAAGGCCCAGCACAAAAGTCACCTATTTCACAAATACTTCCAGGTCCCTCAGATAGGATTAATTACATGTTTGTCTGTTTCAGCAATCTTAACTGATATTTTTGTCTGACATAGGTATCTGGAGATCTATAGTTTCTTTTAAAAAATCTATTTGTGATAACCATGTGATAACAGCGAAAACGTGTTTGGAATTAGTAAAGGCACTTCCAGACGATTCTGTTAAATCAACTCCTTGTAGTATATAAATTATGTGGCTTGTCAACTGATGATCTGGAAAATGTTTTCTGTCATTCTTCAGTGGACAGTTTTCAGTGGTGTTTAATGTTCCTCCTCACTGATATGGTTAATTAAGAATTGACAGTAATTCTGAGCTTTAGTGAGTTTTACTCTTGAGAGAAGAAGCAATCCCAGGAGACTTGAGGTTTTGTTTCTCTGAATTATTATGAAAACTATTTTCATGAGTGAATGTAGTGGATGCCAAGCAAGAGAAAGTAACTGAATTTTGAATAGTTTTTCCTTTCTGAAGGGCAAAATACTAATATTAAGTTGCCGAACCTGCAGATTTTTGTTATGCTGTGAAGGCTTTTGTTATAAACAAAAGTATATGTGGGGATCTAATGTACGGCATAGTCTGTAGTTAGCAATACTGTATTGTGTACTTGAAATTTGCTAAGAGAGATCTTAAATGTTCTCACCATGGGGGAAGAGAGGTAACTAGGTGAGATGATAGATGTGCCAACTAACTTGATTGTGGTAATCATTTGACAATGCAGTGTACATGTATATCAGATCATCATGTTATACACCTTAAATTTGTGCAGTTTTATTTGTCAATCATACCTCAATAAAGCTGGAGAAAAGAACATGATAATAAAATAAGTCAAATTATATTGCTTATTTATTATGAAGTTTAAATAAAATTTGCTGTTCCAGCTTACAAAGTCCAAAAGATAAGAAAAAAATTCTCAGCATGAATAAACTGGGAATGTATCTTCACATCAAAAATTCATTTTTCAATGCATTTAATGGTTTACTCATGCTGAGAACTACTTCTTATCTTTTGAACTTTTGAACCCTGTATGTATGGAGATGAGCAAAAATGTATATGAGTTTCTTTTAAATGTACTGGAATACCACATGTAAAACAAAACAAGTAGAAAACTCAAGACCCAGCAATACACATTGATCAATTATGTGATAACATAATAATATTTGTACTGGGCTTTAGGCATGTTATATGCAATACTGAAATGAATTTTGCTATGAGAAATATCATAGGCATCAGCCATTGAAAGGTATGCCTAACATCTTTTGTAAAGCAAATCTTGCTTGAATTTAACTAACAGTCACAAGTCTGGGCCAGTAAGCAACACAGTCAGTGTCCCCTCCACCCTTCATAAATCTATTTGCAGTAGAAATCTCATTAACATTTTAATTGTTTTGTATCTAAAGTTGCTCTCAGTGCCACATTTAAAGGGCTCAGGCTCATTAAAATTTAAGGACCAGAGAGCTCATAGTCTACTCTAATGACCTAGTGATGGTTGTAAAGGCTCTAAATATTTTTTGGTTCTTTGAATAACTGAGGAATTCCTTGTAGTGGCTAAGTATGCCTGAAGATAGGTTGTTGCATTGCCCAATTTCAATCCCATCAGAAAGCTCTCTCCCTCTTTTCCCTCATCTAAATCCTAGGGTCTCTTAAAGTCCCTTTCAACATTTTCTGTCAACTTTTATTTCATTGCCCACATTATTTCTTTAGCTAGATTCTAATTTAATTGAGGGAAAAGAATTAAAATTTGTCACTGAGAATCTACCTTCTGTTTGTGTTTCTCCACTCCCCACACTGACCCCCGTCCCATTAAAAAACTATCTATCCCAAACTTAAATTAATTGTAAGCATTAGAAGTTCTTATTCTGGCTTTGCTACACGTTAGCTAATGAGACTACAACACACCTTCTGGACTCAGTGTTCTCATTTGTCTGCTAAAACTTTGGTATATGTTTCATGACATTGTTTTTGTTCTAAAATACATGTCTTCAAGGATTAATTAGCCTTACTTACAGTCTGTTTCCAATACTACTGTTATATACAGTTATTAACATTTATCATTTAAATGTAGAGGATTGTCAACCCAACGTAACAGTCTTTTGTTTTGCTCCAGTTTTGGTTAAGCCCGTCCTGGTAAGAGGTGATTAAATAATATTTTTTCTTTGAAGACTATTTCTGGTTGATAATAATGACACCCTATCATTATACCCAAATATTATCAAGAAAATATTTAATTTTCTATGAGAAAACAGAGAAAGAAGTAAAAACTAACATCAAATTGGCCTGAAGGTTTATACCATCAAAGTGTATTGAAAACCAGAAAGACCCAAGATTATTGCACTAGAAATTGTTATGGGGAGAGGGTAAATGATCTACTTTTAATCCTGGGATGTGACAGTGATAATAGGATGCAGATTATACAAAAACAGTAATAACTGGGAGTATGCATTCACTTACCCTTTTTAAAATCATGTGTTTTCTATACACTTATAAACATGCAGCATGAGGTAAAATATGTTTCTGTGGTTGTCAGTTTCTGGAAATGCCTCTTATGGGTTTTGCCCATAACGTATGTTCCGTTTAAAGGCTCTACTTTGCCTTAAAAAATGCGGCTTTGGCTGGGCACGGTGACTCATGCCTGTAATCCCAGCACTTTGGGAGGCCGAGGGGGTGCAGATCACCTGAGGTTGGGAGTTTGAGACCAGCCTGACCAACATGGAGAAACCCCATCTCTACTAAAAATACAAAAAATTAGCTGGGCATGGTGACGCATGCCTGTAATCCCAACTACTTGGGAAGCTGAGGTAGGAGAATCGCTTGAATCTGGGAGGCAGAGGTTTCAGTGAGTGAGATTGTGCCATTGTACTCCAGCCTGGGCAACAAGAGCAAAACTCTGTCTGGAAAAAAAAAAAAGTGGCTTTGGCCTCATGGCCAGAAGATTTTGGATGGGGATAGAAAATAATCAGAGCAGATTTGAAGGTACCTTACACCAAGACGGTCATTTTACAGGCTACATCTGCCCTAGAGGCCCCTGAAATCCTTTTTGTTTTAGGGGACACATGCTTCAGTTTCACCATCTTTAATTTTTTTAATTGTATAAAAAAAGACATAAAATTTACCATTGTAACCGCTGAAAAATGTACAGTTCATTAATGTTAACTATTTGTATTGGCGTGTAGCAGATCTTGAGAACTTTTTCTCTTGCAAAACTGAAACTCTATAGCCCTTGAGCAACTCCCTATCTTCCCCTCTCCCAGCCCCTTGCAACCACCATTCTAGTTTCTAACTGAGTTTAACTATTTTAGATACCACATCTTAGTGGAATCATATAGATTTGTCTTTATTATTACTGGCTTATTTCACTTAGCATGATGTCCACAAGGTTCATCATTGTTGTTTCATGTGGTAAGATTTCCTTATTTTTTGAATTTTTTTCAACGTTTAGGTTCAGGGGTACATGTGCAGGTTTGTTATAAAGGTATACTGTGTGTCATGGGGGTTTGGTATACAGATAATTTTGTCCCCTGGGTCCTTCTTTTTTAAGGCTGGATAATATTTCATTGAATGTAAATACTACATTTTCTGTATCTATTCATTCACTGATGGACATTTGGGTTGCTTACTACTCTTGGCTATTGGTGTGCAAATATCTCTTCCAGATCCTATACTTTAAATTTTTTTTTAATTCCTCTGGATATATACCCAGAAGTTGGATTATGGGATCATATGGTAGTTCTATTTTTAATTTAAAGGAACTTCCATACTGTTTACCATAGTAGCTGTACCATTTCATATTCTCACAGCAATGCACAAAGATTCCAATTACTCCACATCCTTGCAAACATTTGTTATTTCTAAATTTTTTTAATTGATGAATAAAAATTGTGTATGTCTATGGTGTATAACATGATATTTTGAAATATGTACACATTGTGGAAAAGCTAAATCAAGCCAATTAACATATGCATTATCTTAAATACTTATCAGTTTTTTGTTCACCAGATTTTTGTCTTTCGGTTTTCATAAAAGTTATTTCTATTTCCAGTGATGTTTTATCTACGTGACATCAGCATACAAGCTACACTTTTTCTTTCTTAGATTATTTTATTCTACTTAAATTTATATAGTAGACTGATTTACCTGACAGTATGTGTTCAAATAAAAAATAATTTCATAATCCCTTATCCATAATTTTGAAATCCAAAAGCTCCAAACACTGGCAGGTACTTTTTATTGTTATTTGTTGCACAAACTAATTTGGTTGCAAAATCTACAGTGATCTGGTATGAGTTTAATTGTAGACCTTATTTATATTTAATATGAAAATTGTTAGGATTCCCTGAAAAAATATTAATGAGTTTGATTAGCGTGTGACTCTCCAGACACTTCTGGACATATATGTATCATATTGCCTCTCTAAGATCTGAAAAATTCTGAATGCCAAACAATTTGGCCCCAGGGATTTAGATAATTCTAATCTGTGTTTGTCAATATAATATTTGAATAATATACTGCTCTTTAAACAGTAATTTAGATTTTTAAGAGTTTGCTACTTTGAACAGAATTCTTTTATAAAATGAGAAATCACTTTTTTTTGAGACAGGGTCTTGCTCTGTCACCCAGACTGGAGTGCAGTGGCACAATCACGGCTCACTGAAGGCTTGATGTCCTGGGCTCAAGCAATCCTCCCACCTCAGCCTTCCGAATAGCTGGGACCACAGGTGCACACTACCATGCCCGGCTAATTTTTGTATTTCTTTTTTGTAGAGACAGAGTTTTGCCATGCTGCCCAGGCTGGTCTTGAACTCCTGCGCTCAAGCGATCTGCCTGCCTCGGCCTCCCTGAGTGCTGGGATTGCAGGTGTGAGCCACTGCGCCTGGCAGATAAACTAGTTTTAAGCAAAGAAGCACCTACCTGTTTTTGTTTGTTTAAATTCTGGATGTTGATTGGTATAAAGCAAGGGAGGTTCAGCTTTATGTGTTCTTAAAAAAAAAAAGAGATTTATCATAATATTGATGAATGTCTTTGAAATTTCAATATTTTATAACATACCTTGTCAAAAGCATAATTAAAAGAAAAATAAATTGTCTTTCATCATTAAAAGACGTTAACATCTTACACCAGTCAGGATGGCTTTTATTACAAAGTTTAAAAGCAACAGGTGATGGCAAGGATGTGGAAAAAAGAGAACACATACAACAATTTACATTGTTGGTGAGAATGTAAATTAGTACAACCTTTATGTAAAACAATATAGAGATGTCTTAAAAGAACTAAAAATAAAACTACCATTCAATCTAGCAGTCTGGCTACTGGGTATATACACAAAGAGAAATCATTATAAAATACCACCTGCCCTTTTATGATTATCACAGCACTGTTCATGATAGCAAAGTAATAGAACCAACATAAGCGTCCATCAATGGATACTTGAGTAAAATGTGATTGAAATATATATATATATTTATTATATACACACATATATATGTATGTGTACACCGTGGAATACTACTCAGACATAAAAAAGAATCAAAATCATGTCTGTTGCAGGAGCATGGATGGAATAACTCAGAAACAGAAATTGAAACACCACATGTTTTCACTTACAAGTGGGAGCTAAACAAAAGGTAAACATTCACATAGAACTGGAGGCCATTATCCTAAGTGAATAACTCAGAAACAGAAATTGAAATACCACATGTTTTCACTTGTAAGTGGGAGCTAAACAAAAGGTAAACATTGACATAGAGAGTAGAATAATAGACACTGGAGACTACAAAAGGTGAGAGGGTGGGTGGTGGGTGAGAGTTGAAAAATTATCTGTTGGGTACAATGTTCACTCTTCCAGTGATGGATACACTGACAGCCCCGTCTCCACCACTATTTAAATATATGCATGTAAGAAATCTGTACTTGTCTCTCCCTAAGTCAATAAAAAGAAAAATAAAGTTCCTATTTTAATGATAAGAAAATAAAAATTAGATGATTCATTAAGTGTAATGCATAAAAACAAGTTCTGTTGTCATTCTATTAAGCCCTGTATAAAAGCCCTGTATAAGCTTCTGTATAAAATAAACAGAGCCAGTTGACATCTATTGGATCTCGATGCCAGGCAGCATTACAAGGACTGTCTATATTATTGCATTTATTTTATCTGAACAACAAAGACTGTGCAATTGTACTATGCCTCTGATATTGAAATGTTATTATTTAGGGATAGAGATAAAGCAAAAAATACCATGTGCTATAATTTAGATATTTATTTAATCCAATTGCATTTTATTTGCAGTGGGAATAAGCCTTTATTAGTCCCACTCTTCGTTACTTCTTATGATGTCTACCTCCAGAGAGTGTGCTAATCTTTTGAAGTGTAAAATGGTCTGATTATGGTTAGTCAGCTGGAGAGTGAAGTCTCTTTATTTATTTTTTTTTTGAGACAGAGTCTCCCTCTGTCACCCAGGCTGGAGTGCAATGGCACGATCTTGGCTCACTGCAACCTCCACCTCTCAGGTTCAAGCAATTCTACTGCCTCAGCCTCCTGAGTAGCTGGGATTATAGGCATGCACCACCATGCCTGGCTAATTTTTTGTATTTTTAGTAGAGATGGGGTTTCACCATGTTAGCCAGGATGGTCTCGAACTCCTGACCTCGTGATCTGCCCACCTCAGCCTCCCAAAGTGCTGGGATTACAGGCGTGAGCCACCGTGCCTGGCCGAGAGTGAAGTCTTTCACTCTCTTCTGCTTCACAAACTTTCCTGTTTTATTTTTTCGATAAATTTTATTCTATTTTTCTTTTGAAGTCCCTATTTTGACCCTAATAAGCTGTTATACTTTTACTTTAGATTGCATTTGTGATAGCTCTCTATATATTTAGATTGATAAATTATTAGGTTCCAAGAAAAGTCAACTGAAGTGCCTAGCTCACTCTCCTTTAGTTTTTGTATTTCATATTAAATATGCTTATAATATTCTCTTTTGTATGTGAAATCTGCATGATCACACGTTGCATTATTAATAGCCTCGCCGAGGCTTTGCTTCTTGCTGTTACTACTTCTATTATCTCAGTGTTTAAGCTCTTCATCTAATGACATAGGTGGAACATTTATGTTTCTCTCATGACTTTCTAGTGTAGAGAAAGAGGCCTGTTCTGAAGGAAATAGAGCCCTTCTTACGGTGGGGTGGAGTCCTTTGATAGGGAGTTTTGGTCCCTGTGGAGACAGATACTTCAAGAGTCGTAAGGGACTGGGAATAAAAGTTAATTCTAAAGAACCCCAGAAACTCAGGGAAGGCATCTTTGCATCTGACAGACTGGCCAATAATTGAACTGGAAGAAGAGGTAAATATTCTCACAAAGGAGAAGGATTACACATGGGGAGGATTGTAAGTGAGTCTCCCTGCCTCTATTCAGTCTGGCAACAAGAGATAGTAGGGCTTTTGACCTACAGACAAATTAAATGCCACCTGTCAAAAAAGTGAGCTTTATGGCTCAGTCTTTGCAATTGTGTGAGATGGAAAACACATTTGTGAGGAAGCAGCTAGGAATGGAAAGCCTGAATTAAAATGAATTATTGCTTGAAGGACAGATAAATGCCTGTTCTGATTGAACCTGAGGCTAGCAGTGAATCCACTGCACCAACGTATCATCACTGTCTGTTTCACTGAGTACATCATTTGCCTACGAAATAAACTTGTTTTCTTTTGAAAAACATCTTTAAAATTTCTGTGTGTGAGCAACAACAACAAAATTTGGACATAGCCTAAATATTCAAGAATGAGGAAACATCTAGGTAAATTATGGTATAGCCTTACAATGGAACATTTATGCAGCTTTTTAAAACGATGCTTACGAAGAATTTTAATGCCCTATAAAATGCTTATATTATAATAAGTCAAAAAAGAGGCAGGATACAAATGCCTATAACAGCATGATTTTATATATAAATGTATAAATATAAAGACAATAAGCACAAAAGGAAGGAAATGTATCAAAATATCTTAATAATGTTTATCTCCTGGTGGTGAGTTATGTATAATTTTTATTCTCTCATCTACAGTTATGTTTTTGCTAACTTTTCTGTAATGAACATCTATTACTTTTTTCTTAGAAAAAATACTTTGAAAAAAGTTGTTAACCTGTAATGTGTTATTGACAAATGCCACTTGAAGACAACTTTGTAAGACCTCTTTTGAGCCACCAGTGCAACTAAGCTTTATTTCCCCTAAGAACCATTATGGTTCATTTGTATTTCAGTAAAATGTTTCATTGTATACTTCTATCCGGGCCACTATTATTTAGTATTCCAGTGATGGTGAAATAAAAGATAAAACATTTCCTATGTTTAAAGATTTCTGATCAGATAAGAAGACCTCTTTCTACCACATGGTTTCCAATCTTGTAACCTTGCTCCAAATTAACAGACATAAGCGTATTCAAAACAAGTAGATCATAAGCGTGGCTTCTTCAGATTTATAGTTAGTGGTTCAGAGCTGTAGTCTTATGTCATGTTTCTCCTTGTATATGTAGCATCCACTCAAAATTATTTTCTCAGATAATTTACTGGGTATTAGTTGAACTGTAAATTGCTAAAAACTTTAACACATTTATCATCTGGTTTTTCTACTCCTAAGGGTAAGATTATCCTGACTTGGCTTTCTAGGTGACTCTTCTGTAACCAGTTGCTTACATATAAAAATACTTTGCTTACCTAGAACTCAGTTATCTGACAACCTTTATACAGTTGGCTCTTTGTATCTGTGGACTCTACATCCCATGAATATAACCAACTGCAGATGAGAAATAATCAGAAAGGAAACCCAATTAAAAAAACAATAAAATTTAAAAACTACAGAATAACAAGTGTTTACATAGCATTTACATTGTTTTATGTATTATAAGTAATCTAAAGATGATTTAGAGGACACAGGAGGATGTACCTATGTTGTATGCAAATATTGCACCATTTTGTATAGGGGACTGAAACATTTGCAGATTTCGGTATCCATGGGAGTCATGGAACCAGTTCCCTGGGATGCCAAGGGATGACTATGTCTGAGAAATAACTGAGAAGCAATAAGTAAACCATAATAACAACATAAGTAACAACAGCTACCACTTACTGGGTACTTGCTATGTTTTTTTAATTCTGAGTACTGTCCTCATTATCTCATTTAATCATTATAACCCTCTGCAATGGTTATTGCTCTCCTTATTTATAGAGGAGAAAACTGAGGCTTATAAAAATTGAATCACTTGTCCAAGGTCACAGTGCTCATTATTGTGAAGCTAGGAGCTGAACCATATTCCAAAGTCCAAATATACTCATAACTATTACCATAAATAAAAATTGAAAACAGATGTCACAGTGTCTGTATTCTACAAATGCTTAACATTACACTTCAAGATCCCAAGAAAGGATCACTCTATTTTACAAAATGAATTCAGCCAATTTACAAATACAATATTTGAAAAAGGGAAAAGAGGGCTTCTAGAAGTAGGAATTGATAACGAAAAAGAAGGTATGGCTGTAAACTGATAGAGGGGCTTAGAGAATATATTCCCAAGAAATCTGAAAGCATAATATTCTGGATTGGTTCACTAAAAACATCTTTTACACTGTATAGTTTCTAACTTTATCAATATAATAAATATGGAGCTTCATCATGGTAGATTTATCTTGTCAATAAAATATTAAAATGAATATAGTCTTAATTTTAAAAACATTTTTATAACAATTTATACATTTTATTTTAGAATGATTAGAGAATATAGGTCAGATAAAATAACAAAATAAAAAAATCTCATAATTTTACAGCCAGAGATATTAACTGTTAACATTTTAGAAGAACTACATAATATAAATACAAATGTAAACATAAATGTATACGTTTACGTTTTAACAAAATAGGGCCATGGTTTACTTTTAAAAAATTACCTTCAGTTACAATCTGTGTGCACATTTAAAAAGATTATTTGATTATCAAGGTAGAGAAGTATATAACATACTTAAGACTGATTTTCTTCCAGTAAGTATAACAACATGCACACACATTAATCTGCTGCTTTAAGGCAAAATACATATTAATCCAGAAAATTATTTTATGTGAATCAGCTCATTGATGCTACATCAATGAGGCACTACTGTACTTTGGCTATCTTTATGCCATGTAACTTTCATTATTCTTCTCTATACATTTGAAAGAAAACTTGATTTTTTAAAGGAGAAAGAATCAATAATGAGCGGGAAAGTTTAAGGGTGTTTTGAAAGGAAAAGTGTACCTATACTCTATATTCCCTGGCTGGAGCTGATGTGATTTAAAGCCATCTGTTTCTTTCACTTGAAATGCAGTTAGCTTTGTATTCATCAGCCTACTTAATTCAGGAGAAAGGGAGGGCCAACTTCCAAAAGCTGAGTTTTTATTTGCTATGTCAGTTTACAAAGATTTATTGAGCACCTTTTTGTGTGGGTCTTGTATTAGATAGTTATTTACTGCAAAGACGTGTAAGATGTGCTCTCTGTACTCAAAAAAAGTCCAGTCAATTGATCTAAAAAATATAAATAGTTAATTACAATTCAGCATGGTGGGTACAAAGAGTGAAGTGAGGTTTAGGGGCTATAGGAGCACATGGGAAGTAAGAAAAGCTATCTGGCTGTAGAGATTCCAAAGTGGACATGTAGAGAGAAAGTGGGTGGCTAAGGAAAGGGGGGTGATGCAGTATGTTTCAGATAGAGGAGCTGCATGTACAAAGGTTCAGGGGTTAGACAATGAGCATGCTGTGTTTAGTGTCATGGAGATTAGGGTAGGAAGTGGAAAAAGGGCTGACAAGCAAGTATTCAGGGCCTATCAAGGAGGCATCCTGTGTCATGCTGAGGAATTGGGATTTTATCCTTAAGCAAAGATGAGTCATTCATTGGAAATACTGTCAGAGAAGCCATGAATAGAATAACTATGGTTCAGAGAAATCAGTCTAGTGCTATGTGAAGAGGCCCTAAGTTGTACGGAGACAAGATCAGGATCTGAGCTAAAGTATTAAAGAGGAAGAAGTTGATCTGGTGAACTTGCTGATTGTTGGATGTGGGAGGTAAGAGAGTGGGTGAGGAAACATGACATCATTATCTCTGGGTTAGGTTACTGGGTGCATGGTAATGTCTTCTGCAAATGAAGAAGTTTCCAAAGAAAAGAAGATTGAGAGGATATTTCAAAGATGATGAATTTATTCTGTATGTGTTCAGTTGGATATGTAGAACTTGAGCTTAACGAAAGCAGTGACTAGAACAATAGATTTGGGAGGTATCTGAATATACAAGTATGAAAACCAGAGAAGGGAGTAAGAACCCCCAGGTAATATCTGTGGATTCAGAGGGACCCTTGAGGACCACCATCATTTTAAGACTCAGTATAGAATAGTAGTGAAGCAATGGGCTCTGCTGTCTGGATTCAAATCCTAGTTATACCTCTTATTAGGTCATGCTATCAATTCTCTCTGTCCTTCAGTTTCCTCATCTGTAACATGGAGATGACACATATTTTAGTCATAGGCTAGTTGTGAACCAAATGAGTTAATATCTTAAAGTATATATTATAGGACTGGCCTGTAGTAAAAGTTAAACAGATTTAGCTTAGCTTTACTGTATTATTTAAACGATTACGGTAAATTTGGCCAAATAAATAAAGAAACAGTGAAGAATACAGAATAAGTGTTGTCAAAGGGTTAGAGGAGGACAACTATGAGGAGCGTCATAAAAGCCAAGTCAGAATTTGGAAAGTGAGCTGTATTGAATGTTGAAGGAAGGGAAAGACAAGCAAGAGATAAAATGTATCTTTTCTTTTTTTGTTAGGAGAGTTTGCTGGTCACCTTGGTAGGATGGGTCCAGGGTCCGGATACAGTGGTCTGATAATTGGTGGTTATAAAGTATGAGTGAATCTGAGGTATTTTATGTAAGTGAGGAAAGAACCAGCACAGGGAAGGGAACCAGGCAATGAATTGAAAGAACCCTTCATGTATGCATCAAATATCCTCAGTATATCCTGTCTGACAGTGGACCATGAACTGAATAAACTCTCCAGGAACTATACTCTGAGACTGTATACAGAGAAAGGTGGCCATTACTCTTCCATCCTTTTGTTCTGGCTGACCTTGAAAAGAAGGTAGGAGAGGAACCCTACTTCTTTGTGCCTGAGATCCTCTGAGAAGTGTATTGGTCTGTGTTAAATTTGGTAGGATCCCTGGGTGAGAGACAGCACATGATGTTGACATGAAGTATCTGAAGTCATCTCAGTCCACTTCTCAGTCCACATCTCAGTCCACAGCAGGTCAAACCACAGTTCAGGGACCCTTCTGAGTAAGGGAAACCCCCTACAGGTAGGCTCTTACTCTGCAGTCATGCTGACTGAGCTATTCTCTGTGCTGCTTCTGGCAACAACTTTCATTTTGGCAACAACTTTCATTTGGATGCTTTCTCTTTCAAAGGCAGAATAGTATATTGGAAGGATTATGAAGCTAGATCACGGAAAATTTGTTTCAGTTTCCTTCATTCATTTTTCAAAAATATGCTTTGAGCACCTACTATGTACGAGACAATATACCACTGGCTGAAGTTGGAATTATAGTGGGGTCAGGACAGGTAGGGCACTTGTCAGAAAGAGCTTGCATGACAGTGAGAGAGATAAGCTATTTTTTAAAAAAGGAACCATTCTCTGAAAGGGAGAATACAGGTCTACAACTTTGTCCAGTGAGGTCAGAGCATCTTCTTGGGGGCAAAAGTGATGGCAAAGCTGGGAACTGGAAGGTAGGTTGAGATTGGCCATGTGCAGGGGACAGGGGAGAAGAGTTCTCTAAGGAGAGGAAACAGCATGGGTGAAGGCTTTGGGGTTATGAAAGAACCTGGTACTTTCTAGGACCTAAAAGAAGTTTGAATGGGCTGGAATATCGGGGTGCTGTCCTTTTGGCTGGCTAAATGATACTGGGCATCAATGAATTTGATATTCTGTCTCATTCTCCTTAAGGCCAGAAGTGGGCAGAAGGATTCCCTTGTTGTAGGCTGTTGTTCTTAGAATGCAGAGATAGAAGAAAGATACGAAAGAAATCACTCTGAGGACCATAAGTAGGGTGGATTGGGGCTCAGGGAAGGCAAGAGAGAAACTAGAATCAAGGAGATATGTTGAAATGCTACCAGTTGATGAGATTGCAGTGCTGGAAATGGGAACAGAGAAAGGAGTTGGCTGGAAGAAGAAACAAGTTTGGTAAAGAACAGGAGGTGCTGGCATGCACAATTACTGGTAATTCCTGGAAGGTAGTTCATTTGAGAGGGACCACCATGAAATGATGAAGATTAACAATTTTTAAAGAGAAATTTTAGAGAGCATAGAGCAGCAGACAGGAGCTGGAAAGCCAATGAAGAGAGTTAAAAATGGAACTGTACTAGAAAGAAGAATTTCATGAATTTGTGTCAAGGAATTTTAGAAGACAGCATTTCAAAAAAATAGATTTAACTCTAACTTAGATTTAACTCTAAGTTTCTCTTTGATAAATGCTTTAAAAAATCTAGTTAATTAGGCAAATTATAGACTTAACAGTTAAAAACTCAGAAGTCTCAGTCTGTGACTGGTCAAAGCATACCTGTTAAGTTGTGGATGCTGCTTTTTCAGCAGTTTTAGAGCTGATGTAGTCTGTTTCATTTTTGTTGCTAGTTTATGAATATTACAGTTTTTTAGAGTTTCTAATATTCTTTTTGGAGTCATACAGAAGGGAACAGAGAAAGGAGTTGGCTGGAAGAAAGAACAAGTTTAGTAAAGAACAGGAGGGGCTGGCATGCACAATTACTGGTAATTCCTGGAAGGTAGTTCATTTGAGAACGTTCTTAATAGAGTTCTTCCTGAGGAAAATCAGGGGAGACTTGATTCTTATGTGAAGGTTTTTTTTTTTTTTTTTTTTTCAACTATGTGAAGTGAAAGTATGGAAATTTAACTCTATTGATGTGTGTTTGAATTCTGAAAGAGATGAAGGGGTGCTGTGAAAATGCACTGCACTGTGTTAGGAAATGGGATTGCCCCAAAGAGCATGGCCAATGCCTGGGACAATTGCATTCTTGACTCACCCTCGTGAAGAGCTAAGGCCCAGCTGGGCAATCACAGGCGCTGGGTGGAGGCTTCCCCGGTGGCACCCCTCTGTGCTCTGCACTCTTCTTAGAATTTAACATTTCCTTAGCAACTGGATAGGGTGCATAGGTTAGCATTAATACTGTGAAAGAGAAGAAACTTGGGGCCTTTAAAAGAATGCCATCTTGGGTTACTATGCTTTCATTTTGGTTTTATTTTTCTCAGTGGTCAAAAACTATTGTTTCCAGCCAGAATATCCTTTTTATGTCCTTCAAAACACTAATTTTTGGTTGCTATGGGAACTGGCTTATCAAATTTTAAAAATTTGTGTATTTCAGATCCCTGGAAAACGTGTGTGTGTGTGTGTGTGTGTGTGTGTGTGTGTGTGTGTGTGTGTATGTAAAGAAAGAATCAGATATTATTAAAATGAAACATATACCTTTGTTAGGTGAATTGTGGAGTGTGTGAGGTAACACTTCATTCCAAACCCATGAGCTCTACCTTAAAAAGGTATCCAGACTTTGACACTACTTGGCAGCTTTACTGTAGTAACCTTGTTCCAAGCCATCTTTATTTCCTACCTGGGGTTATTGGACGGTTCCTTAACTGGCCCCCCTGGTTTCTCTTGTACCGTTTCCCTACCCTGGCTCTGAAGCGATTCTGTTAAAGTGTAAGTCAGATTACGTCAGCCTCTTTTCAAAACCCCCTATCAGCTGCCACTTCACTCAGAGTAAAAACCAGTGTCTTCACCATGGCCTGCAGGCCCTATTTGGTCAAGTCCCCATCCTATCCCCAACTGATCTCTCTGAACTCCTCTCTGACCACTCTCTGGCAGGTTCAGCCTACTGAAGTCACACTCAGCTCCTCGCAAGGAATTCTCCTGCTTCAGGACTCTGGAGTTTCCTTTTCCTTCCTCCCTAATTAGAATGCTTTTCCTCTAGACAGATATATGGCCCACTCTCTTACCTTGTTCAGGTCTATACTCAATTGTCACTTTATCAGTAAAGCTTTTAATTCTCCAAGATCTTGGCCCTCCCTTTCCTCTTCTCTAGTCAGTTTTTCTACAACACTTAACAGTGATCTCACTAGTGTATATTTTGCTGATTTATTTATTTATTGTCCATTTCCTGCATTTGGATGTAAGCTTCATGAAGGCAGGACGTTTTGTCCATTTTGTTCACTGATGCATCTGCAGCATTTAGTACCTAGCATGTTGTAGTTGCTAATAAATACATATGGAATAAATGAATGAATTTAATATTGCTATATTGCTTTGCATATTCTCCCTGAAATGATCTATTTCTTTTGGAAATGGCTGTTCTGCACCTATTTAAGTGTCGATGACATATTAATCATGGAATAGCAGGCATCACCCCAGGTGCTAGACTGTGAAGATGAATAAGAAGCATGCCCTGTCTTGCAGAGAGCTTACATTTGAGGAAGGAATCAGGCAGTTAAGTGCATGGAGGTAAGTGCTGTTGGAGAGGAAAACTCAGGTAGCTTTGGGGGAAAGGGACACACATTTAACCAGCTTCTGTGATATACCAGGCACCTCACAATTACTACTCCATTTTTGTGATATGAAAACTCAGCTTCAGTGAGGTAACATGAATTGTCCAAGGTCATATGACCTGCAGGTTAGGAAGTTAAGACCGACTGGGTCTAGTTCTAAAGCCCACATATGGCAGATACCACTTTGCCTCCTTATGGGGTAAGGGTGGTGTGTTTAACTGTGTACAAACATCTATTTACTTCTTTTCTGGTAGTCCTAGATGCAAGTGACTATGTATATTTTAAGGAGACTTAAGCTTAAAGGCTCTTGACCTTAATGAGGGAAAAGATTGTATAAATTCATATAATTATTGCTAATTATTAAATGTTCTGAAAGTGTGGCAAGGCCATTGTGAATGGGGATATTAGGGACTCATTCTTCAAGGGCCCTTTTCTTTGTGAAGGTTTCTGTGACCCCCTAGGAAAAATTTAAATGCTTTCTTTTCTGTGCACCCATAGTACTTGCTTGCATATCCATTCATTATCAGGTTTGTTGATAAATGCATGACAATTTAGATATTACCTTTATCAGATGGGGAAACGCCATGAAGGTGAAGAATTTTTGTCTTGATTATCTCTCTGTGCTCAGTGCCTCTGAAAATGTTTGTTGAGGAAACAAATTCATAGAAAGAATCCACAATTTAAACTACAAATCTATAGAAAGCACCTGCATGAATGAAACTGTGGTCTCCCTTAATTGACAGCTACATCTTTAAAGTTGGGGAACAAAGGAAAACTGTGTGACATTTGCGAACCATTAGTTCAGAGCTGGACTGTAAAGAGATACAGGAAAAAATTGATTTCTAAAGTAGAAATGCTGATGGCATTTGGAGAAAGTCAAAGAAATATAATTTATGATTAGAATCCATATATTGCTTTATGATTTACCAAGTGCATTCATAAACACTATTTAATTATCACAAAACTCAGTGAGGTAGAGAAATACAATCCCATTGTACTGATCAGGAACCATCAGAGAAGTAAGGATAACTTTGAACTTGATCAAGTCACATGGTTATTTATGGAGTCCACATACAAACTTAAGATCTTCTGATTCCAAATCCTGGACATTTTCCACTAGGCCATGTTCCTTCCGGAATACTGGACTTTTGTATCATTATGAGTATATAGGTCTCTGACTTATGTTTTCCATTCATGATATCTACAAAAATGAATTGTATATTTTTTGTTTTATATCGGTTTTCTCTATTGTAAAGTACTTTGGTTTATTATTTAATTGGGCCCTAAAATACATGCTTAACTACATTTTATATATTATTCATCTTTCATCTATAAAATGGGATTATATTCCACCTGCCGAGTATCTTGATGTGCTTCATAAAATGCAAAATCCAGATGGGAACAACAATTTTATAAATCTTGAACATTGTTTTATGTTTGTCTTTTGAGTTCTATCTTTCATATCACGACCTTTCAAAAGTTTGTGGTTAAACCCAGAGTAATACACTCCCAATGCTATTTACTCAAGAAGTTATTAGTATGAGATTTATATATGACAGAAGGTAGATGTAATCTTTGTAGGTGAATGCTAGTAATATAAAGTAGCAGATATTAATATGAAAAGCGACAGCTTCTTTAAAAAATATCAAGTGAACTTTTGACTTAAAAAGTTAGTATGGCAGGCCTACAGGGACAGTACAAAGTATATAGGAAGTCACGTTTCGCATTTGCATACTGAAAGCATCGAAGTCTGATTTCCCTCCAGCATTACCAATTTCATTGATTATAGCTCTTACTTGTCTATGCACTTCAACCAAGTTTTTAGACAATTCAAAGTGGTTAGATGATCGGTCTGTGTATATTTGCTGATTGATTGCATTCATCATATACCGCAATGGAAAAGTTGTCATAAAAGTCTCGATTAAATAATATACAAGCTGCTATGTATAAACATCTCATAGTTGAATTTCGGCTGAATACACTGGGCTGCAATTTTTCACTTTATATTGATTGAACAGCCAAGTGATTGCAGATAGGGGCTGAAAATAGTTCTGTAGAGAAATTCCATCCTTATAGTGTATGTGCAAGTATGTTTATCTGTGAAGCAAGGTGAGAGTGCTGGGAAGGTTCATAAAGTAACTATTGATCTAGAATCTGGAATTCACTCAGGATAATTTTTGAAGAGCATAGGAGCCTCTGTAAAGATTAAAAAATGACATAAACTAAAACATTGTTATAGATCATGGTAAATAGTAACCCTGGCTTCATCAGACAACCTTGATTAGGAAGAGCAGAATTAGATATTGGGTTTTTTTTCTTCTTATGTTTAAAAGAGAAGAGCAGCATTCATGCCCCTTTTTGAGTCAGCACTCATTTTTTGGGGAAGCTCTTCTCATCTAAAGGAATAATCCAAAATATGGGGAAAACTAATTGCATGAATATGTAAGACAAGGTACATCCATTTGATAGAATTTTTGTAGGCACTGAAAGTTGTCCAAGTTGTCCTTGTGAAGTCTTAGCAATATGGAAACTATGTTGATATGATAATAGGAAAAATTATTTTATGCAGATAAAATTGTAGAAAACTTACTATTATTTCTATTATAAATATGTATATTAAAATAAATTTATAGATAAATAGTAATCATTTGATTACTTTTATTATAAACATTTTATATGGGAAAACCAAAGTTCAGCACTGTTAAGTAATTTTTTAAGGCCATACAGCTAATCAGTGATAGAGGCTGGACTTGATCTCATGGTTGTCTGCCTCCTAAGACTATGCCTTTTATATTATATTAAACTTGTAATATTGCTTCTGAATTTTAAATATAAATATATTTTATAAGAAAAACTAAGGAGAAATCTAGAATTTTACCATAAAATGTGTTTTTGGGACTTAATTTGTTCACCTTTAATTTTCTTTTGGTCTTTTATTTTTTCCTACTCTTCTTCATTGATTCTTCCCTTTCCTTTTCTATTCTTTTCTTCTTCCCCACATTTTCAATTTTCAACCAGGAATAATCATACTTCTAGTTAGATTGTGTTTTGGTGAATAATCAAATCACTGCCTCCCGCAACCTCACCTGCTGTTCCTGCCTGGTCTTCTTCCCCCATCCTTGACCATTCCTTTTTGGATGCCTCTCACCTCTCTTAGGTTATTCCTTTTTGATTGAGACTACTGAAAAAAAACAAAACAAGACAAACAAGGTAATCTTCAGACTTTCTTTTGGGGATGTCCTTCACTAAATCTCATATATTTTAAATCTGAGCAATTGGAAATTTCTACTCCTACTCTTTTGCTTTCATTTTGAGGTAATGACTGTGTGGAGCAAATGTTGACTCTTTCTGGAGGATTAATACTAATTTGGCTCTTTAAAAATTTTAAGCAGAAAGACGATTTCCCCTGTCCTCCCAGGAATAGTGGGTAGAGGTAGAAGATGCTGATGTTTTTCTCCTGTTTTTAATTAACATGTTTGTTTTTAGGGTGTCTTTTCTTCTCTGACATTTTTCCCTCTGGACTTAGCAAGTTTTTGAATCACTGTTTCTCCTGCCAGAGAGAACATCCTTTGAGAGAGGTCCCAGAGATGTTAAGAGACCCTGGAGATCTCAAGAGATGTTAATTAGTAGAAGTAAATAAATAGCTTGTTTATTTTTATGCGCATTTTAATGCTGTCCTTTACTTTTTTAAATTAAGAAGTAGAAAATGTGCTTGTGCTTAAATGTAGTGTAAAGTTTCCCATATTCCTTTGGGTGCTGGTGTATTTTCCCCAGTTGCAGAAAATATGTTCAGAAGAATTTTACCTGTTGAGACTATTCCTTCTCCATTTTATTGCTTTTTATTGTTACTGTAGCCCCCTGCACAAAAATGGCATATGAATAGTAATAATATTTTATAATCTGCTACAGTAACCATATTTGCTTATTTGCAACAATTACATAGGACTGGAATTAAAGATATAGAGACCTGAGAATTGCCCATCATTTGCAAAAAACTCTTTTCATGCAAAAGTGAAAAATTTACAGTGACAGAGCAAGAAGGAACCTTTAGAATGTCTTCCCCATTCTTATCTTAAGGCAGCCTCACACTTAAGACAGCTCGAGAAAATGACATGCTGCCCTATTTGGGAAGCCATTAAAATTATTTTCAGAACTTTGGCCAGTATCATCTTTTCAAAATATAGTTAAATCCTGCTAGAGGAGCTGTTTTATTAATATTTTACTTAAGCCCTTAGAGTAGAATTCAAGCTTAGTATTTCATATCCTAATCAAGAGAAGTAATATACAACAGCAGTGAAGAGTATGAACCCTGCAAATAGACTCCCTGGGTTCACGTTGTGACTTTGCCACTTAATGCTGTGTGACCTTGATAAGATATTTAACTTCACTTCACCATACTATTCTCATCTTTAAAACTGGATAACACTGGTTGTGAAAATTTAGTGATATGTTGCATGTAAGATACTTAGAATCGTAACTGGCACACAGTAAGCCTAAATGATTGTTTTTAGATTAGATTTATGGTTAAAGAGAAAGACAATCTACAGATTGGAAAGGTTAGAACAATAAGTGAGAGGGGATTGAATCTCAAAATGTCAGAAGCTAGTAAGAAAGCCCCAGTTGGAGGTTTCCAATCCTAGACTAATTACTAATTTCACGTAACTGAGATAACGTGCATATTTTGTGATAGAACCATTTTTGGTTATCTTCATGGGAGCTTGATATTTTCAAAAGCTGTCCAACAACACCTAATAATATTGTTGTGGACATGATGGAACAATATTACCTTGATCATAATATTATTAGCTAGATTTACAGATTTGGACTCATATAATTATAGTGCTAGTTAATAGATCATGAACAGTATTCTGTTAGAAAATTCAAGGCATTTACAATGAGAATACCTATAATGAAAAGATAAATTGTAAATATAAATATAAAAGTGGCATTGTGGAGAAGCAGAACCCAAGTATGTCATCCAAAGGTTTAACGTATATATTACCATTGAACTTCAAATTTGGTTCTGAGGATTTTTGCAACCAAGATGACAAAGAAGATATGATCAGTTACATTACTATTATTATCTAAGAGAAGAAAGTAAATCAGTTCCTCAGGAGGAATTTTTCCTAGTACGGATTTGTAATGGAGATTAATCACATAGGTTCATAAATGATCAGCACCGATTTAATAGCAATTTCTTTAATAAATATTTTAAAGCAAATGCTCTTTTATAATGAAACTTTGGGAAAGAAGTATAAAGGTTATGAAGTGTCAGTTCAGCAAAGAGAAATGGTAGGCTAATGTCATCTGTGTATGTGAACTTCATGTGCTCTGAGTTGATCCAAAGTATAGTTGAGAGAACCTAAACTATTGGAAGTACACTCTGTTCTTCAGTAATGTTATTTCACGTTGCTTCTCTCAGCCAGAGTTTGAGGGGAGCTGGGTAATAGGGTCTAGTTAGAAAGGCGTAGAGGCAGGAATAGGACTATTTTAAGGTTGTAAGTTTTAGCAGGAACAGTAGGCTTTAGAAATCAGCTAGGAAACTAGTAAAGTTGACCTCCTCCATAAAGTGTTTCTATATCATGTTTCTTGAGGCTCTGAGTTTGTTAGGGGTGCTTGGCTGGATGGGTAGTTTGGCGTTAAGGTATTTGAGGGGCAAAATTAAGCAGCTCAGTTTTACTTACTTTTATATGTTGAGTTTCTGCAAAAGTCTTTATGTGACAAACAGTAAAAAAAGTTATTTTGCTTAAAAATACGGGAAAACTGTTTCTGATAACCCTGATTCTTCCAGTGTAAAAAATGCAAGTTTTATATACGTCAATAATTAAATGTTCATATTTTTATCATGCATCTTAGGTCGTATCTGGTTCCTGTATTAGGGTTAAAGACAATTTGAGGTGGATAAAAAGCCGTCTTTAATCTGTCCTGAAATGGCCAAATATATATAAATTGAGATAAGGCCTTTCTGTCAAGCCCTCTTCTGTAATTAAAGTAGAGCTTTAGTAAATCTTTGGATCAAAGAAGACTGGTCATAGATTTGAGAATTTTTTTTTTTTACCTTTCTTCAGACTTTTATGTCTATAATCCTACAAATTCATTTAGGTAGGGTCACCATTAACTTGTTATGTAAATCAGGACACTTTTGAGCATGGAAGTGGTTCATAACAGGACAATAAGCACTAACGGAGAGCAGTTTCCTGGGCGTACTTCCTGCAGGGTCTCCCAAAGTCTGCATGTAAACAGGTACAGGAGTCTCAGTGTCAAGGGTTAGGGAGATGGGATAATAGTTGATTAAAATTAATAAAATAAAACACATTCATATTGACCAATTAGAATATAAATTATAAATAAGGAAATGTAAATCACTTATAAACCTACTTTTTAGTGATTACAATTGTTAATATTTGGTTGAGCGAATATCCACCTAGAATTTTTATGAGTAATAGAAAACACATATTTTCTTTTTCCTTCTTTAAAAAAAAACTTGTGATATTTAACTACTTTTTTATATTTATTGCTTTTATGTAACTTTTAATCATTGTCATTTTTCAATGTCAGATATTATTTGAAAATATGCTCTTTAAGGGTTGCAAAGTATTTTATCTTAGAGTTGTACTATAATTTATTGATGCATTCCTATCATTGGTATTTTGAGTTGTTTCTATTTTTTTACTATTATAAAATACAATGAACATTTTTACATCTCCGTTTTTGAGTGGAAGTTTTATAATTTCTTGAGGATGAATTACTGGAAGTGGAATTACAGAGTCAAATTTTTATGGTTTGTGTATGTATCTACATCTGTATTCAAATTGTCCTTCTGCAAACATATACCAATACAAAATACCACCAGCAATGTGTTAGGTTGTTTCAAGTGGTTAATATTTTTCTTATTAACATCTATAATAGCTGTACCTAAAATGGAAAAAAGAAATCCTATGTGTATATGTACAGTTTCCTCTAGACCTGTCTCACAAATTGCTATATGGCAAGTAAGTAGAAAATAATTACTTCACTGAGATATCCTTTGCCTTATCACCTTTGGAGAAATCATGATATCTTTTATTTTTATCTGTTAGTGGTTTTTTTTCTGTTGTTTTTTGAGATAGAGTGTCACCCTGTCACCCAGGCTGGAGTGCAGTAGTACGATCTTGGCTCACTACAACCTCCTCCTCCTGGGTTCAAGCAATTCTCCCTGCCTCAGTCTCCTGAGTAGCTGGTAACAAGCACCTGCTACCACGCCCAGCTAATATTTGTATTTTTTAGTACAGACGGGGTTTCGCCATGTTGACCAGGCTGGTCTTGAACTCCTGACCTCAGGTCATCCGCCCGCCTCGGCCTCCCAAAGTGCTGGGATTACAGTTGTGAGCCACTGCTCCTGGCCTTAATATTTTTTATGAAATGATGAACAGTATGTCTGGGGTTGGTTATGAAAATATAAAAGTATACTCAAGTTTTTTACATATTTGAGTGATTTGAAAAGCTAAAGGAAATTAGGCATCTAAATAAGTGTTCAGTTGGTACCTTTGAAAGTGCCAATTCGGCAGCGGATGTGAGATGGTGTATTAAGTGGAGTATGTGAGGCGGGGCTTTCCACTTGGATGGACATTCAAATGAGGTGAGTGGGCAGTTTGATGTTTGAGAGCAACGTTAAGCTAGGGAGTCATTCCTTTGCTTACTTGCAGAAGATAAAGCAGGTATTTTTCAGGAGCTTAAGTCTATCAAACTGGTGGTGTTCTTTATTGAGAAGGTGAATTGATGATAGGAGTTCATCCTCAGAGGGCGGCTATGATCAAGATGCAGCAAGTGAATAAAACATGTATACTACTTCATTTTAATGGAGCTCAGGAGCTATAAGCAGGTCTTAAGCTCTGCCCATTAGGACTTTTATTTGTTTTTCTGCTTTGTTAATTTATAGCAGTTATCAACAAAGTTTCTTCTCACTCTATTCTAAATAATCTATTGAGAAAAATGCCAGTCCTAAATAAATTTTTCTTGTTCCCCAAATGAAGGGAAGAGAGCTGAATAGTCCACTGGTCTAAAAGGAACGTTTTGTAGCCATGCCGTGTTCAAGTCACAAGTTACATAAGGCAAGGAGGCATCTAGGCCTGGTTATAGATCTTCTATAATATTTCTCATGGACTTCTCTGAGTTCCTCCTCTGACCTTCTGTCTGTCTTATGTGCATGTTTCATGAGGCCTATACAGTATCTAGGGTTGTCTGGGCAGAATCTATAGACTAAGGTAAGTGAACTCTGTATTACGGCTTGTTTGGTTTATAATGTGAGACCACAGCACTAATTGGACACTTCATGTGTGCTGTTAATACATGTAAGTCCTCTAAGCTAATAAGCTTTTTTGGATTTCCCTGTTGAAGGGGATTTCACCTATCTTAAAGGGAGTAGACCACACTACCATGTTGTGTGGGAGGTTAGATTAGCAACCTCAAGTTACCAAACTTAAAGTTGAATATTTCAGTCCTGCCTAAACTTTTAAGACAGAAACGATCAGCTTACAAAATTTAATTTTGCAGCCAGGATAAAATAAATAGGATGGCATTGGCAGAGACAAATTTTTCTGATGGATAAATCACATGAAAGGCAATATTGTGTAAGAGAAAAAATAGCACCAAAAGAGTTTCTTGGGACTTACCTTAAAGGTTTCCCCCTTCTAATTATACAGAGAAAAATCACTCTGCTCCACAGTCTCCAAGAATAGAAAGGAGGGGAAAATGTACTTAAACTGCAGTGTGAGAAAGTAAGGTTGGATATCAGAAATCATATTTTGGTAGTATTGTTAAACATTGTGAAGAGTTACCTGCAAAAGACCCCGTATCCTTAAAAGAGGGGAGGAGGAGTTGCAAGCACACCTGGCCTCTGAATGCATTACAGGCAAAGTCCTTAGAAAGCTGTTGGCAAAGGTTATGGGGAAAGCAGTAGACAAGCAGTGGCTACAAAGAATTTACTGGACCATGTTAGAAAGCAAGAGGAACAGCAAGTAATTGCTCCTAGGCCTAAACAAAAACAACAACAACAAAATCATCTCAAGGACAATGGAAGAGTGGAAGTGCTAATACACATCAAAATGTGAAAGAATCATGGGAGGAACTGCCTACACAAGCAGAACTCATTGTGAATTAAAAAAAAAGAGGAATTAAAATGTAAGTTTGCTATGTTTGTAGGAAACAGTTAAGTGATTATGAAACTGTTTAGGTTTGGTGGCTGGAAAATAGGTATAAAATGTAAATATTGTGTTTAAAACATTTTGAATTATTATCTAGAAGAGTATTAAAGAGTGATAGACTCTTAACTGACTGAGATATTTATGTGCTTTCAGCTAGAAGGATAAAATCAGTGGTCTCCTAGAATCAATTCTTATGGTATGATTCTCTGAAATTATGGAGATTTGTTGGCGCTGAGTATGTGTTATAAAGTTCAGAGTGCAAATGGGTATAATTAAATAAATGTTCACTAAGCAACTGCTGTGAAAAAGGCATGAAGTACAAAGTTAAACAATATGTGGCGCATTTTTAAAAAGGTGCTTGCAATATCCACAGAGAGATTTTGATGGTAACAGATCTGGTAAGGGCTGCTTGAGAGGTACACAGGCATTTTTATAAGAGAAAAGAACAGGCAGAAATGAGTTTGGACTATGGGAGAACATATAAAGCTTTCCTGTAGAGAAGGCAGTTGGTTTGGGCCTTAAAGGAGATATGAGGTTTTTGACCAATGATGATGGGAGGAGGAAAGGGAACCCTGGGCACGGAAAAGCGTACATGGTAGTACATATAAGCTGGAATACATAATGTGTGTTTGGTGCTTTCTCAAAGTCAACAAAGGCTTCTGAAGAGGAAAGAACACCATTAGAACTTTAGGAGATAAACTTTTGGGAGGAGATAACACAAAAAGACCAGTTAGGAGCTACTGAATTAGCTTAGAGAAGAGGTAATAACTGCTTGTTCTAGGTAAGCCAGTAAGAAAATGAAGTAAGCTGCTAAGGAAACTAAGAAAAGAAGGGAATTATGAGAGATAACTAGTGATGAAAGACCTGGGTGGGTGTAGAGGGAGAATCAGAGGTAACACAAAGACAATAGAATGATTGGTTGAATATTGAGGCCATTGACAAAAACTGGAGAGAAGGAAAAGGATATTGTGAAGCAACTCCTTGGAATCAAAGCTTGCTTCTCTTATGACTGTTTTTCTTTCTGCCTTCACATCCTTCCTTTCATCTCCTCAGTTCAGTCCCTGCTTTGTGCCTGGTTCTGTGCAAGGTAAAGTAATGAAGGTAAATAAAAACACGCAAAAGATATCCCCCGGCCCTTAAAATGCTTACCATCCAGTTTGGGTAATAGAATCTATCCATATGTATGAAATCCTTAGCACATATTTAGACCATAACTATTGTGAGGACTGAAAGGGGAAAAATAAGGGGTTGGGCTGTCCGTCCTGCAGAAGTGAATCTTAGATACAAATATGCAAAACATACTCTAGTTGTATATCAGGTAATAAATGGGGTCAAGCCTATTAATGCTGGTTCCGGTTTGATATGAACAGATTTGTCTTTTGGGTTTTCTTGAAGATCTTAGCATGTCTCCATGTGTTGTCACCCTTGTATTCGGAGATCAGACGAATATTAAATAAGTTTATGACAAGCTATTCCTCCTTTCTTGTTATTTATTGAGATTCCTTACCCCTAGGAATTACTTTGCAGATGCTTCTTTCTTTTTGAAAGCTTTCTTGTATTTCATAATTATTTGTTGAACAAGTAAATATGGTGACTTTTTAAATTAACTTAACCCCAACTTGGGGTCCGATTTCTCATGGTAATGTCTTGGCATAGGATTCAAGCATCTGATTTCACATCTAGGAGTTGTGAACTAGAATACTTAAACGCAGCTCCACCCACCCCCTTTCTTTAAAGACCCAGTGACTTAAGTAGAAGCTGTAAGTCTTTATTTTACCCCTGCACTGTAGCTTTCAGAAATCTTAAAAGAATCCAAAATGGGCTAGTTATTTTGCACTTCCCTCTTAATAGCACCTAGGGATAATTACTGGTATCTTTTGTTGCCATCTGTTTTCTAGTTTATAGATCTATTTTTATTTCATGTTTCTATTCTGTTAAAAATTCTGTTTATAAAAAGTACATATAGTTGGCAATATGAGATTTTTTGGATCTTCTTGTAGTTTATGAGACCAATTACCAGATCATTTGTGAAGACATAGTGATTTGTGAAATTTGAACCTGAAAACCAATAGCAAAGGGAAGAAAAGCAGTTGGAGTATTTGCCAGATGAGGGATGTCGCAGTGCTCTTTACAAAGCCAGTGGTGAGGGCCACGTGAAAGGAAAAGCCTCACTATATCTAGTCTTTCAGTATTTACTCAGGGCAAAGACAGACTTCAGAACAGATATTGTCTTTAGGAGTATCGTAGTGATCACTGAGGGACACTTGAAGACTTTTATTTATTTCTTTCCTATTTCTACTCTTTTGGGGCTCTGTTCTCTAATTAAAATTGGTGTTTTGGAAAAAGGGAATGTGACTTCTGAATACAGTAATAAATTATATCCTTGCCTCAGATGGAATTAAAATGACTGCAGACGTGAAATTTCCCTGCTTCTGAAAACTTAATTTGATATTTTCTCTTACACACCAAGCAGTGATTTGCAGAGGCACAGACTGTAAGATTAATTGAGGCAGCCATCTCTTCTGGCGCATCTAATCTTACATCTAATTATCTGATCATCTGAATCACAAATACAGTAGTTAAAGGGTGTCTGTTTAAAGGGCACACTTAAAATGTAAATATTAAAAAGGAGCTCTCTGGTTTTCCAGAGACAGACATGCAGACTTGTAATGGCCATTATGTTATTCATGGCATTAGGTCAGCAGGCCACATAGAACTGTGGTTACATTGCTCTATCACTAAAATGTGAAGATAATTCTGAAGTCTGTATTAGGCTTGTTTTGACAATTAACCTCCATTAGTATTCCAGAACACATAAGAGCAAAACTCTTAAAAGGCTTTCTTTTCAAGAATGCACTGTCAAATTGACTTCATCATTTAAATAGGACTGTAGTCACAGTAAATGATGAGTTGATATTCATACAAAGCGTAACCTTAATTACAATATTATGAGCAATTAAACCCAGTGTTCACGGAATTATTGTACATTTATGTGTAACAGAATAAAAACATTGCATAGGACTGTTAAGCTTTTTGTATGAATCTAATTAACTTTGACAGGCTTTGAGCTTTTCTCCTTCTTTCAGAAGTGCTGTAGATAAATGTACTTGCATCTGGAAAACTTCAAACAGTTTTGATCAGCATTTCAGATCTGATTTAAAATGAATGCATTGAAACGCTGTCTTAAATACAGAGTTGATAGATGTGTGGTGCACAGTTTCTTGTAGCAGGAAGGCAGATGTGGTAGGGAGAACAGCTGTAGACTACAGCAGCCAGTGGATATTGTTTTTCGTCACAATCTAATGTCAGGCAGCTACTGCTGTGAACAGGTCTTTATATATTTGGCTCTGGTTAATGCTGCGGATGTGAAAAGCTGAACTCACACTGATTCCTTGGAAGGCAATTAGGAGGGAGATATGTCTTCTTATGCTTCCATTTCTGTAGCCCTTAGGGAACAGAGCACCATGAGCAAACCAAGGTTCCCAAGGAGTCCCAGTGACTTTTTAAGTTTCATAAGTGAGGAATAGAGTCCTCCTTCAAACAGTGAATTATGACATTGAGGATTTTGGAGTTACTCTTCTTGATTCCCTAAAATCCAACTATTGATTAGGCTTGAGAGGAAGCTAGGAATTTCATCATCTAATTTGCATGGCTCGATGGTAACGACAACCACCACCACTATCACAATAATGGTTATATTTTACTCAGCACCAACAATTTTGGTGATTGGCATACATTATTTTATTTAATCTTTACCCCAACTCTATGAAGTAGACACCATCTTCAATTTATTGATGAAGAAACTGAGACTTGGAGCATTTATTGTCATTTTTGAAGTCACGTAACTAGAAAGTGTTAGTGCTATTAAAACATAAGATAGAAATTGAGTATTAATGAGATAAAAATTCATTTTAAAAATATAATAAAACAATATATATAATATGGGCCTATTTATGTAACAAACACAAGAGTATGGTAATACATATATAAATATATTTGCACTGATATAAATGCAGATAAAGAGAAGCAGAGTTGAGTACACTAGATGGCTGACAGTGGTTATTTTGAGATGGTTGAGCAGAAGGAAGGACAAAGTAGAAAGATTTTTCAAGTTTTGTTCAATAACTTCTTACGTTGTTTAAATCTTTAATTCATGTGTTGTTTCAGTAATTACAATTTTAAAGATCACAAAAGTACTTTTGCTGCTAAAGTAAACATCTGAAAATAAATCTTCATCATAGAAAGTGGTGGTAGGTTTGATTTCAACTAGGACTCTCTGACTATAACATCTGTGCTTTTTCCATGAAGTTATGTGTCCTTTAAAAGTGTGTATTAATGTTTAAAAATCTGATGTAAAAAGGTAGTGAATTTCCTAGCCTTCTCGTTGTCCTTAGAAAACCTTGCTTATACTGGCTGGGTGCAGTGGCTCCCAGCATTTTGGGAGGCCGAGGTGGGTGGATCATTTGAGGTCAGGAGTTCGAGACAAGCCTGACCAACATGGAGAAACCCCGTCTCTACTAAAAATACAAAATTAGCTGGGCATTGTGGCCCATGCCTGTAATCCCAGCTACTTGGGAGGCTGAAGCAGGAGAATCGCTTGAACCCGGGAGGCAGAGGTTGCAGTGAGCCGAGATCGAGCCATTGCACTCCAGCCTAGGCAACAAGAGCAAAACTCCATCTCAAAAAAAAAAAAAAAAAAAGAAAAAGAAAAAAAAGAAAACCTTGCTTATACTTAGATCACTTGGGGATACATCAGAATTCCATTCTTAATTTAAAATAACCAATATATTTCAAATACCTATGATGTACCAGTTGCACTGTGAAGCCCTGAGGAGGTTGCAGAGATGGAAAGGACACTGGCTCTCCCCCTAAGGTGTTATCAGCATCGTGAACAGACAGACTGGTGCCCACAGAGCTGACACACAACGTGGCAACAGTGGAAGAAACAACATGCCATGTAGCTTTACAGAGGATACAAGTATTTCTAAGGTTAGGGTTCACATAACAATTTATTCAGTACCTATGTGGATGTTTAGGAGCCGGACATAATGGAAGATACTAAGATGTGGCTTCTGTCCTCAAAGACCTTGTATTGGTACAGAAAAGGGAGCATTATAACACAGGAAAATAAGAGAGCAAGAAAAGCCAGGAATAGCATATAATTGATTGCTAAGTGATATAGATTAGGCCCTAAATGAAATGGGAATTCAGAAAAAATTGTGATCACTGTGGGTAAGAATTGTAGATTTCATAAAGAAATAAATTATAGTACCACTATTTTTTTTTGGCTTAAAAGAAGGGTGGCCAGGAATCCTTTTTTTGTACTTTGAAATTGGCCTTTGAGTAGAGTCTCTCATTATCTCTGACAGTTGTTAGAAAAAGGAACAGAATAACAATTAAATCCATCCACAGCTGATGCATTTATTTGATATATATGTATATATATGTTTGTGAATATATATATTTGTGTGTGTGTGTGCGTATGTGTATTGGAAGACTAGGCATGATAGATTATTTTTCTCTCTCTCTCGTTCCCTTCTTCCCTTCCTCTCTTTTTTCCTTCCTTTTATTAATTATTTCTGCTAGTATTACTCAGACATATGACATAGAATCAGGCATGCTTGAAATATGCAAGATTTTCTGTCTAAAAAAATAGAATAGAAGCATAGAGGAGCTAGCTGTTTAGGGAGTTTCCCTTTAAGAGGCATTATACCTGAGTTCTGGACCCTTCTAAATACGTTAAACCATAATCATATATCTAAAGTACCAAACACAGTGCTAGCACATAGTAGATGCTTTGTAAGCATTACTTCTCTTCTCTGCCTTCTTCACAAAACTTTAGTATCCAATCTAAGAGAGAAAAAGCCACATAGGAGGGGGGTGTGCAAAAATAAAAAAGACTGAGGGTTGCATATTTGGAAGAAATTTGATTTTCAACAGCCAATTCTTGAAAATGTCTCAAGATTACAGTGACTGGGTCAGCTATTATGGAGCAACTCTGAACTTGGAGAGAAGACAATATGAGTATACTAAGAAATACATAAGCATCTAGGGCAAATCACATATGCTGTTAAGTATGTGGGATTTTAAAAAATATGTATTTCTATGATATCAGCTTCCTTCCACTTTTTGTTTTTAATAACTTTAAACCAGATAAAAATCTTCACAGCCATTCAGACTCAGACTAACTTAACTGAAGACTAAACTTGAGATTCAGCCCCACCGAATTATGCATTTTTTTAAAATGATAATTTTCCCAATTATGTAAGTATGCAAACTCACCATGGAAAATTTGTAAAATAAATGAAGGAGGTATAAAACAAACAAGCAAAGATTTGAAATCCTGCATGCAGAAGAAAACTTGATAGCATTTGGTTCCAAGTTCTCTTGGTGTTTTTTTTAATGCTTATTTATTTTGTAGGTATTACATATTTGCTTATGACCATATTTTGTCAATTTAAAAGTTGCATATTTTGCAGCGTGACCCAGTTTGCAATCATTGTTCCCTTTTACAATATTGGAGGTGGCCCTGGGGAAAAGGCCTGTCTTTGAACTTGATTGAACACGCTGTCTGGGGCCTCTCTCTTTCTTCATTGTCATCCCCAGAGTGTGGAAGCCTGGAGATTAGCTGGGGAGGGCTTCTGCTCTGTGCCTGGGGGAGAAGATTGTGGGGGCATTTGCTCCTCTGAAAAGAGAACAAGATAGCTGGCTGATACAGAGGATCTTGGATGGCTGACTGGATGGGGTCAGAAATAGGAAACAAATTGAGTTAATCAGCATGTGTCTTGAGATTCACGCTCCAGCACAGCAGCAGGTTAGGATCTGATATGATGTGAAGGTGGTGGACCGCTAGGCCAGGAACAGAGGCAGGGAGAGAGAAAAAATACCAAGAACATCTGTAGATAGAGCATTAAACCTTCAACAGTGTTTCTTTCTTCCTGAAACTTGGTGGGTATTAAAAGGACTGAATGCATTTATTTATGCTTGTCCTTGGTGCCCCCAAGCATCTAGGTATGAAGGGTTAGTAGGGTGGCAGCATGTTTGGAAAGGGAGACAAGATGTTTATCCTAGAACTTCTTTGGTCTGCTTATGTTTATTTGGGGTAGTTTTGGAGAGTCTGGTGGAAATTGTAGGGGGTAGGATTAAAGTCTTCCTTCCCCAGTGACCCCTGATACTTTTACTGATTATTTCTTTGGAGCCTATGAACCACTCTTAGTTCAGTAGAACTCTTGGAGCCCTGTTTCAGTGATGGTTCTTATCATGTGAACTGACTAGGGATGCCATGCAGTGTCCCTAAGCCATGGTGGCCCAGGAAAGCCATGTCCTTCTATGTTGGATAAGTAACCACAATACTCCTTTATTCAGTGTATGTTTATTAAGTACCAAGCATGTATTAGATACTGTGCAGAATACTGTGGATTAAAGACTAATAGAAATGGCCTTTGTCCCCAGGAAACACAATGTATGGAAAGGTAGATTTATAAAGAGATTATTAATATTAAGTCTTGGAGGTGGAAGTAGGGTCATGCTGTTTGTCCAGTCATGGGAATTAAATAATGGGTAGGTTCTAATGAATGATTGTCCAATGATTACATATTATGTTTACCTACTTAATATCATCTTTAATCAAAAGCAGAATTTTGTATGTAACTTCTATTATGCAAAGTTTCTCATGCTAGTATTTCTCATAATATTATTTGTGTGTTGAAATCTGAGCAACATGACTTTTCTTTCTTGCTGTTTTTACAATGAGCTTTCATTGGAATAGTCCTTTTGACATTATTGTTTTTCCTTAATTCAATATTTTATCTCATTTATAATCTAGTAAACCGGGAACTTGACTTAAAAAGTTTCTGATTTTACAAATATTAGCCAGATGCGGTGGGATGCACCTGTAATCCCAGCTAGTTGGGAGGCTGAGGCATGAGAATCGCTTGAACCTGGGAGGCGGAGGTTGCAGTGAGCCAAGATCGCGCCACTACACTCCAGCCTGGGCAACAGAATGAGACTCCGTCTCAAAAAAAAAAAAAAGTTTCTGATTGTATTATTTATCTAATGTTCTTTAGAGGCAGGTTTCAGGAATGTAGCAACAGTCTCTGAGACTCTGAGTTGGGTAGACTCATTGAGTAAAGGTTGTTCAACTTTGGTAGAAGGTGGGTATGGGTATTGGTAGATTTGTCAAGCTCCTCAGATTATCAGATACTTATCAGTTTGAGAATCATTAGGAACATTGAGCTATGATTATAGACTTTCTCTGTGTCAGTTACAATAAATAGGTAATTCACAAATTGCAAATTTAACAACAGTGAGTCTGCCACTGTAGACAAAATTGGGTCTGGCTTTTGTTGATCTTTTTAGAGTGAAATAAAATTCTTATATTTATAGAAATCAGCTAATTCTCTTGATTCCTCTCTCTCCTCTGTTTCTGCTTGCCTTCTTCCCCTTCTCTCTGTTCTGCTTAATGTCGCTTCTCTTTCACCTCTACCCTCTCCCTCTCCCCAACCCCTTTACATGTTGTGATCACACAGGTAAGATGATGTGGTGGTCAGGGGCAGATTTATGATCACAGTGGGAGGATGTGTGTGCTTCTGACCTGGCTTATCTTCAGTAGATCTCTAGGGTGTAGTTCTCAAACTGTAGCATGTATTAGAATCACTTGGAGGGCCAGTTAAACCCAGATTGCTGGATTACATCTCTAGTTTCCGATTCAGTACATGAAGGTGGGGCCCCAAATTTGCATTTCTAACAAGTTCTCAGGTGTTGCTGATGCTGCTAGTCCAGGAACCACACTTTGAGAACCACTGATCTAGGAGATTCCCTTACTATGTAAAAACTATTATTACTTTTTGAAAAAGTAAATTTGGAAAAAAAATATTGGAGGATGAATTCTCATTTGAAATAGAGGAAAATTTTAAAATATGCTCTGTTTTTAAGTGTTTTCTTGGAGGGATACAATAGCTTTCCTAATAACTTATTTGAATAGTTTCTCAATGGATAAAACATCTATTATATAGCCTTTATCTGAAATTTACCTTATCTTTGTCCTACACTTTTTGACCTTGGAAAGGTGATGTCACGTGGTAACTGAAGACAATTATCAGTCTTCTCTATTTCCTTCCACTCCATATCCCCAGTCTAAGAGTATATTACTTTAATACCTCAGTACTGACATTAATTTAATTTTGATAAATGAAAAGATGCTGAATGTTGAGGCCAATTATCTTTGATGAAAGAAGGCTGAACTGTTTTCATCTGTACAAGGAAGATTTTACAGAAGACATCCAAGTTCCTGGAAAGAAGTTTATCTGACCCAGACATTAAAACATTAAAGGCAGGGTGACTTTAGCATGCCTTTTTAAAATAAGACTTTATGTCAGAGATTTATTTGGGTACACTTTGGTGCCAATTATGTCCAATTAGTAAATTAATGGATCATGTGACACCTAGTCTATAGTTGTACAATTTTTTCTTGGACATTAAGGGTTAATTCCAGCACAGTGTTTTTTTTTTTTTAACTTTTGAATTTTTTTGGATTTACTTCTTAATTGAAGTTGTTTTATTTCTTAATAAAAGTACAACGTGTTTTGAAATATGTATACATTGTGGAATGTTGGTAAACTGGGCTAATCGAGGTATATGTTACCTTAAAGACTTTTCATTTTTTGGGTGTGGTGAGAACACTTAAAATCTACCATAATATTTTTTAAGAATATAATACACTGTTTTTTACTATAGTTACCTTGTTGTACAATAGATCTCTTGAACTTATTCCTCCTATCTAAATAAAATTTTGTATCCTTTGACCAACATCTTCCGATCCCCACCCCCAATCCTTTAACCCCTGGTAACCATCATTCTCCTCTCTACTATGAGTTCAATTGTTTACATTCCACATGTAAATGAAATCATGCAGCATTTGTCTTTCTGTGCCTGGCTTATTTCACTTATTTCCAGGTTTATCTATGTTGTCACAGGTGACAGGATTTTCTTCTTTTTTAAGGCTAAGTAATATTTAGTAATATTTCATTGTGTATATATACTAGATTTTCTTTATCCATTTATCCACTGATGGACATATAGGTTGATTCCATATCTTGGCTATTATGAATAATGCTGCAATAAACATGGATGTATAAATATTTTTTGAAATCCTACTTTTAGTCTTTTGTTTTTTTTTTTAAGTTTTTTTTTTCTTTTATTATTATACTTTAAGTTTTAGGGTACATGTGCACATTATGCAGGTTAGTTACATATGTATACATGTGCCATGCTGGTGCGCTGCACCCACTAACTTGTCATCTAGCATTAGGTATATCTCCCAATGCTATCCCTCCCTCCTCCCCCCACCCCACAACAGTCCCCAGAATGTGATGTTCCCCTTCCTGTGTCCATGTGATCTCATTGTTCAATTCCCACCTATGAGTGAGAATATGCGGTGTTTGGTTTTTTGTTCTTGCGATAGTTTACTGAGAATGATGATTTCCAATTTCATCCATGTCCCTACAAAGGACATGAACTCATCATTTTTTATGGCTGCATATTATTCCATGGTGTATCTGTGCCACATTTTCTTAATCCAGTCTATCATTGTTGGACATTTGGGTTGGTTCGAAGTCTTTGCTATGAAATCCTACTTTTAGTACTTTTGGATATACATCCAGAAGTGAAATTGCGGCTTATATGTTGATTTTATATTTAACTTTTTGAGGAACCTCTAGACTTTTTCCATATAGGCTATACTAAATTACATTGCTAGCAACAGTGTGCAAGAGTACCTTTTCTCCACATCCTCTCCAACACTTTAAAAACCTTTCATCTTCTTGATAGTAGCCATTCTAATAGGAATGAGGTGCTATCTCATTGTGGCTTTAATTTGCATTTCTCTCATGATTAGTGATATTGACAATTTTTTCATGTACCTGTTAGCCATTTATATGTCTTCTTTTGAGAAGTGTTTATTCAGATCACTTGCCCATTTTTAAACTGATTTGTTTTCTACTGTTGAGTTGTTAGAGTTCCTCATGTTTTGGATATTAACCCCTTATCACGTGCGGTTTGCAAATATTTTCTCCCATCCTGTAGGTTTTCTTTTCGGTCTGTTGATTGTTTCTTTAGTTGTCCAGAAACTTTTTAGTTTGATGTAATTTCATTTATCTATGCTTGGCTTTTGTTGCCTGGGCTTTTGGGTTCATCCAAGAAATCATTGCCTAGATCAATGTCACGGAGCTTTTCCCTTATGTTTTCTTATAGTAGTTTTACGGTTTCAGATTTTACATTTGAGTATTAAAGTTTTTGAGTTAATTTTTGTTTCTTGTCTGATATAAGAGTCTAATTTGAGTCTTAAAGTTTTTGAGTTAATTTTTGTTTCTGGTCTGTTATAAGAGTCTAATTTTATTCTTCTACATGTGGATATCCAGCTTTTCCAACACCATTTATCAAAGAGACAGTCTTTTCCTCATTATGTGTTCTTGGCATCTTTGTCAAAAATAAATTGACTGTAAATGCTTGGATTTATCTCTGGGTTCTCTGTTTTGTTCATTGGTCTATGTATCTGTTTTTAGTCTAGTAGCATCATGTTTTAATTATTATAGCTTTGAAGTATGTCTTGAAGTCAGGTAGTGTGATGCTTCTGGCTTTGTTCTTTTTGCTCAAGATTGCTTTGGCTATTCAGGGTCTTTTGTGGTTCCATAGAAATTTTGCAATTTTTTTTCTGTTTCTGTGAAACATGTTATTGGAATTTTGATAGGGATTGCATCAAATGTGCAGATTGCTTTGGATAGTATGGTTGTTTTGACAATACTAACTCTTCCTATCCATGAGCACATTATATCTTTCTACTTATTTGTGTCTTCCTCATTTTTTTCATCAATGTTTTATGGTTTTCAGTGTACAGGACTTTCATCTCTGGGGTAAAGTAAATCCTAGTTTTATGGAGCCCAAGTCTTATAAAATCTGATAGGGGGAGACCTCTTAAATAGTAAAATATATCTTATATTTTCAAATTTTACAAAACTTATGTTAATATGAAAATAATATTTCCTTGTATTCTAGGCCCCTAATATAATTGCTTATACATTGTAGATGTCTCAGAAAGAATTGTGAATTAATTAATAAGTTCTTCATCAAAGTATCTTCAAAGCAGTGTGATTTCCATTATTTTTCTTTTCCTTTCTTTTGTTTCTTACAAAACTGCCACCTGGGCTGGAGTACAGTGGCACAATTTTGGCTCACTGCAGCCTCAATCTCCTGGGCTCGAGCAATGGCTGGGACTACAGGTGGACTCTACCAGGCCCAGCTAATTTTTAATTTCTTGTAGAGATAGAGTTTCCCTATGTTGCCCAGGCTGCCCTCAAACTCCTGGCCTCAAGTGATCTTCTCACTTTGGCCTCCCAATATGCTGAGATTATGGGTGTGAGCCACCATGCCTGGCTGATTTCCATTGTTTCTGAGCTACTTGGTGTCATTATCTATGACTTGATATTGAACATACATTAGCACTATAAAAACACAGAAACCAAATCAACCAGTGTTTTCCGTTGTAAAACAATAACATATTCATAAGAGACTTCCTATGATAAGCTAAAGAGATGAACAGTAAAGACAAAATGATGATGAATGGCTTAGGCCAAATAGATGTTAGCCAGACAGATCTGACAAATGGCACACAAGGCTGCTTAGGTTAGAATTCTGTAAAAACCGTTATTCTATCTTCTAATTTTTAGAGGATAGAGGGCTGGAAGGTTTTGAATGGTGGATAATTTCTGGTAGTGAAGTCCTCAAATCAGAAAGATATTATGGAGCTTTGGGAGGTCAGGTGATGGTGGACTAAGAAGCAGGAGAACCATCTGCTGCAGTCTGATCCTGGAGCATGGTCTGAGTGGTCAGAGTTATTTGTCTCCTTTGCTCTCGAGTATATGTGGGCAGGGGAAGACTCACAAGTGTTTCTGCTTTGAGATGGCAATAAAAAGCAAGTGAAGAATAAATAGTTGCTGCTACCTCTTGATTAAGATCAGTGCAGTGCCTTAGGTCTTCTCAGAGATCCTGAAAGAAAATATAATAAAAGAGATAATTAAGGAGGTGGGCAAAGCAATTTAAAGATATTCACAAACACTAAAAATGTTTTTCTTATGGTTTGATTTGGAATTGTGAGGTGATCATTTAAAAGAAAAGAGGGGTACGGTATTAGCCCATTGTATCCTTGATCAATATAGACCACCCATTCCTTTTAGTTTCTGCATCATAGCTAATAGATTGCCCAGGGAAAACAAAGTATCATTTATAATTGTTATTTGAATATTTTATGTAAAACCTAATCTGAAGACTTAGAGAAATCATTGTAGATTAAGATAAGAAATAAAGATTTGCATTTATGAGAAATTAATGATAGTTCTGAAATTGAAGAACCATTTAGTTCTGGGAGAAATAAATACAAATTATAACATCTAGCTGATGGAATTTTGTTTAGATTGCTTCTGGTGATAAACCATCTATAATAATATAAATCAAGCCCTGGTGTTTGCCATAAATTTGCAATGTTTAGCATAATTTTTGTTTGCATTTCATACTAAAGTGACACCAAGAAATATGAGATTAATAGTTATTAAGTGAAAATGACTTTCATGTCTGTAGTCATTTTTAGAAACAGTTATGTGTAATTCATTTAGGGACCAGAAAAAATTAATTTGCAGTTGTGGTGGGATCTAGCACATTAGAACAAAGAGGGAAGTCGCATATAGGAATAAACTTTTGAAACATAAGGGTGGATTCATTTTTAACCCTGAATTTTGATTTAATACCTCAAGGTACCCTTCAGATCATCACACTTTTGTTTGTTGACTGTAGAATACTAATAGCTTAAGGAACAGAGAAGTTGTTACCTGTTCTCAAATTATGTCATAATCCTGGAGAGTAGAAGCTTATCCATACCTGAGGGGACAGAGGGTCAGATAGCTGCCACTGCAGTATAGTGTCTTTTATTAATTTTAATTAGTGTTTTCATTAGGAAGTGTCATATTAGTTTCTGATTTCTAAAAAGGACACATTATTTACTTTCATTTGTTTCACTGCACTATAAATCCGCAGTGGTGTAGAAGTTAAATTCTATAGAATTTTTGTTTTGTTTTTTTTTTGTTTTTTTTTTTAGAAACCTAGCCTCAGACCTTATGAGTTTAAAAAATATAGTTAATATTTCCTAAGCATTTATTAAGTGCTAGCTGTGTGCTAAATGCTTTATATATGTTCAGTTATTTGTGTTATGTTCATTACTAGAGCCCTTTTCAGGCAAAGTCATACATTCATTTATTCAGGTGTTATTTACTGAATACCCTCTCTGTGCTAGATGTGGGAAGCATTAATGTTTTAGAGGAGGTTGGAGGAAAAAGATGATATTTAAGAGTTTATAAAAAGGACATCAGGACTTTTGGTCAATATGATATTGTAAGTTCATATTTTGAGGCTTTACTGCTCAAAATACCTATTAAAGACGGATAAAGTATTTTTAAAACATAATAAAACCACATTATTGTGTGAAAATTTAAAATTAGACCTTTAGTTGAACCGAAAATATTCAGAAATGCCAAGCAGTGGTGAGTTGGGATGTGTGTGGGCTTGCTAAGTGCTGGGTCTGGAAGCAGAGGAGGCTTTGATTTAAATGGTGAGGCTTGACGTGTTGGAGAAGCATAATAGTGCCTTAAAACCAAACTCATGGCTGGTTACAGTAGCTCATGCCTGTAATCCCAGCACTTTGGGAGGCTGACACAGGTGGATTGATTAAGCCCAGAAGTCTGAGATCGGCCTGGGCAACATGGCAAAACCCTACCTCTACAAAAAATACAAAAATTAGCCGGGTGTGGTGGTGTGCACCTGTAGTCCCAGCTACATGGGAAGCTGAGGTGGGAGGATCTCTTGAGCCTGGCTTGTTGAGGCTGGTGTGAACCGTGATCATACCACTGCACTCCAGCCTGGGAGCGCTGACAGCATGAGACCCTGTCTCAAAAACAAACATGCAAACAAACAAAAAAACCCAAACTCACACCATGAAACTAGAAACTGTCCCTTCCTACCCATCTCAGCTTCCCTTCAACTGGTGCTTGGGACACTGAATTCCAGGAAGCTGACACCTGGTTCTGGATTGGGCACTCCACACGCCAAGTGGAGGGAACTATACGTCAACTAGTGATACTGGCTTAGAAGAAGTCTCATTGTGCTGGGATATAACATGGAACTGTTTATTTTTTTTCTTCCATCCTTACAACATATCACTAATAGATTCCAAAGTTTTTCAGTCACATAAACTTACTAACTTATTTTAGCATAGTTTAAAACTTATATTTTCAAAATCTGGCTTTTTTTTTCTGCCATCACACACTAGAACTAGAGCCCTGGTAGCTGGAAGGAATCAGTAAGACTGAGGGCACAGGCTGGTTGTGGTCTGGTTCCAAGATGCCCCCTTTTTCTCTTATTTCCTCTAACAGCCCTAGCTGCTTCTGGGTTGAGATAGGTAGGGAAGAAGGTGAAGGACACTAATTTTGTTAGTGATGGAAATGGTGCCTGATGTTGCTTGGATTCGGTCTGGTTTTGTCTGAAGTTGTTGCCCTTTATCTTAGGTGCTGTGCCAGGTTTCTTGGGGTAAGTATTTGCCTCAACTCAGTCTGTCTCTGAGGATCATCACAGAGAGGGGAAGTCCACTCTCCATTTGACTCCTGCCAGTGGTCCACATGCCTAACACTTCTTTGGTTGGATCTGTGATTGCTTGATCTAGCAGCCCTGTGGCTCAAGGTCAACATATTTATTCCCTCTCCTCCTTTCCCAAGTCTTTTATTTTAAAGGGAGAAAGAATTAAGGAGAAATGGATGTTGATAGTAGTAAGGCTGGTTTTCCAGTATTTAAAAACATCATGTGGGGAGATGTCTTACAGCTTTTTTTGGTGACTCTCTTTGGAGTGTTTAGTGCCTTTACTTTTTATTTCTAGTCTCTAGACACAATTCAAAGTCAATTGGCCAGGCACAGTGGCTTTGGCAGGGCGTGGTGGCTCACGCCTGTAATATCAGCACTTTGAGAGGCTGAGGTGGGTGGATCACCTGAGGTCAGGAGTTCAAGACCAGCCTGGCCAATGTGGTGAAACCCTGTCTCTACTGAAAATACAAAAATTAGCTGGGCATGATGGCACATGCCTGTAATCCCAGCTACTCAGGAGGCTGAGCCATGATCACTGCTTGAATCCAGGAGGCAGAGGTTGCAGTGAGCCGAGACTGTGTCACTGCACTCTAGCCTGGGCAACAGAGTGAGACTCTGCATCAAAAACAACAACAACAACAACAAAACAACAGCAAAAAAACCGGCCAGGCATGGTGGCTCACGACTGTAATCCCAGCACTTTGAGAGACTGAGGCAGGCAAATCACCTGAGATCAGCAGTTCAAGACCAGGCTGGCCAACGTGGTGAACCTTGTTTCTACTAAAAATAAAAATTAGCCAGGTGTGGTGGTGCACACCTGTAATTCCCGGCTACTTGCTACTTGGGAGGCTGAGGTGGGAGAATCACTTGAACCCAGGGGATAAAGGTTGCAGTGAGCCGAGATTGTGCCACTACACTCCATCCTGGGTGACAGAGCTAGACTCTGTCTCAAAACAAAAAACAAAAAACAAAAAAACCCCAAAAAACAAAAACATAAAACAAACAAACAAAAAAGCACACACACAAACAAACAAGAAAAACAAAGTCAACAAGAAAATATCTCCTGAAAATCCCGTTACACTAGATAGATAAGGAGAGAAAGAGTGAGGAACTTTCCAATCAAGATAGGGCCTGCCAACCAAAATTCAAAACAAATAAAACTAATTCCAAGGAAGGCAGTTATCAAAATCATAGATCAGACTATCAATTCCAGCAGAAATAAAAATATTTAAAATTATTAAAAAATCAAACAAATGTTAAATCCTGAAAGAAATAAATGAAAGGACACACACACACACACACACACACACACACACACATATATATATAAATAAAATAAAATATGAGATGTGTGCATTGTAAGAAAGATGAACAGGGAATTTGGCAAGATAGATTGATGATTTAATTATTGACTGTTAAAAAGTCTCAGTGTGTCATTTGGTAGATGAAACATGCTATATATTTTTTTTTCTTGTTCAAAGGAATAAACCTAATGAATACTCTGTTTTAACACAACTGTCTGACATATACTGGGTATACTGCAATTCAAATCTGACACAAACTACCCTGGCATTAGCACAGATCTAATAGATTAAAGGCACAGTCCTCCACCAGACTGTTCCCACTTCAGGTGACGACTGCAAGTCTCAGGGGGAGCCCAGGCTACCCATGCTTCTGACTAACTGTAAATAAATTTGGTGCTTTTCATGACCTTCTCAAGCTTGAAAATTCTAATAATTTGCCATTATCAATATTTTATTATTACTTGTTATTACTCACAGAATTAAGAAATGCATTATATTTGGGATTATAGTTTTATTGTAAAGGATACACATACTGATGAACAGCCAAATGAAAAGATGTGCAGGGCAAGGTCTGAGTGGAAGACAGAGCTTCTGTGTCCTCTCCTTGTGGAGTCAGGACATGTCATCCTCCCAGCACATCAGTGTGTTTACTAACCAGCAAGCTCCGCTGAGCCTCAGTGTCCAGAGTTTTTACTGGGGTTTCATTACATAGGCAAGATTGGTTGAATCACTGGCCACATGATTGAACACAATCTCTAGTTCCTTTACCCTCCCTGGAGGTCAGGTAGTAAAGTTCTAACCTGCTAATCATATGGTTGGTCTTTCGGGTGAATGGCTCCCATCATCAGGCTATCCAGGGACCACAGGGATATGTCATTAGCGTAACAAACAATTAGTTACCACATTAGCATATCACTCAGGATATTTCAAGGGTTTTAGGAGCCCCATGCCAGGAACATGGGACAAAGACCAAGTTTTTCATTATATCACAATGAATAACTTTCTATTCCATCAAAAAAATAGCATGTATTTAGGTATAAAATACAAAAAAGTAAAATATTAGAAATATAATTTAGAACTCGTCCAAATAACTTCTGGAAAATGGAATATAGAAAATATTTTCCATCAAGTAGACATAAGAAAGAAGAAAAAATACAAACTGCTAGTAAACAGAAACTACAAAATGAGATGATGAAATAGGTACAGTTATACTTGTAATGAAAATGTGTGCAACTCTGTTTACCTATTAAAAGATGGAAGTTAACAAATTAGATTTTTAAAAAATGCAACTATTGACTCAAAAAACTAGCAAGATTTAAGGTAACAGGACCAAATATAACTAAGAAATTCTAACCAAATGAAAGAGGATATAAAAATGTTAATATCAGACAAATAGATTTTATGATAAAACAGTACAAAGTATGTTATAATGCGTTAGCAGAAACATTACATAATGATAAAAGAGCAATTCACCAAGTATATACAATAATCATCAACTTGTAAATCCTTAACAAAATTGCCTCAAAATATGTAAAGAATTAAGTTGCCAGAATTGTAATGAGTAAAGTCCAAAAATAATTAGTGGGAAATTTCAAAATATATATTCCAAAATTTTTCCAATGTATGTATACCGATATATATGTTCCAGCATTTATCAGGATCCAAAACAAGGCAGAGAAAAACATTTGGTAAGTATAAAGACTTATCAACAAAATGTACAAGCTTGAATATGTGTATGTATGTGTACACACAAGTTCACATATCCATGTTCCTATTAAAGAGTACATATTAAGTACACATGTATACAAAAGTTTTAAACACACAACTACATGATTTTTCTGTATATTGAGTGATAGATTTTTTTTATTTTAATTGATTTTGAAGAATCAATATTATCCAGATAATAGTCTTTGACATCTGTGTTACCTAATTAGAAATCAGTAATACCCAGTTTTTCTTTTAACTTTTATTTTAAGTTCAGGGGTATATATGCTTGTTTGTTATACAGGTAAACTTGTGTCATAGGGTTTTGTTGTACACATTATTTCATCACACATATTTAGCCTAGTACCTATTAGTTATTTTTCCTGTTCCTCTCCATCCTTCCCAGCCTCCACCCTCCGATTCCCAGGGATCCCCAGTGTGTGTTTTTCCCTGCTATGTGTCCATGTGTTCTCATCATTTAGCTCCCATTCGTATGTGAGAACATATGGTATTTGGTTTTCTGTTCCTGCATTAGTTTGCTAAGGATAACGGCCTCCAGCTTCAGCCATGTTCCTGCAAAGGACATGATCTCATTCTTTTTTTATGGCTGCATAGTATTCCATGATGTATATGTACCATATTTTCTTTATTCAGTCTATCATTGATGGGCATTTAGGTCGATGCCATGTCTTTGCTATTGTGAATAGTGTTGCAATGAACATACACATGCATGTGTCTTTATAATAGAATGATTTGTATTCCTTTGGGTATATACCCAGTAATGGAATTGCTGGGTCAAATTGTATTTCTGTTTTTAGGTCTTTGAGGAATCACCACACTGTATTCCACAATGGATGAACTAATTAAACTCCCAGCAACAGAATATAAGCATTCCTTTTTCTCTGCAACTTTGCCAGCCTCTGTTTTTTACTTTTTACTAGTAGCCATTTTAACTGGTATGAGATAATAACCTGGTTCTTCTCTGTGTTGGAGGGAAAACTTTCCCTGTATCAACTTAGGTCTGAATAGTTGGGGGCCTTTGAATTAATTGACAACAAACAAATTAATAGGAGAAAAGTTTAACTCATGCATGCAATGGTGGCCTATAGGGAATAGGTCATGGAACAGCTAGGGGTGAGGGTTTATATCCCCTCATAATAAGAGAGGCATTTAGGACTTCAAAGGATAGGAGATTCCGATGAGGGATGTTAACACGAATTCTTTCTGAAATATCCTGGTGCCCAAGGTTTGTTCCCTCCCTGACTGCAGTCTTTTGGGAGTCAGGAAGGGGAGTAAGGGGATGGTGGTATTGTGGCAGCTGAGTCTTGTAAAGCTTTGCTGCAGTTGGTATCAAAGAGAGAGAGGGAGAGTATAATATATCCATTTCCAGATCCTGGCTATAGGAGACGTGTCCAGAAATGAGTACTCTAAAAGTCTCTGTGGCTTCCTATGCACTAAGAATAAGATAAAAACTCCTTGGCCTGGAAGGCCCTTCCTATCACACCAAGCATCTCATCATTCCAGCCACTTTGTCCTTCCTTCAGATCTGCAGGAGGCCAAGCTTTTTTCCCTTTTTAGAACCTCTGCTCATTCTATTCCTTCTGTCTGAGTAGCATCCCTGGCTCTTCCATGGTTGCCTTCTTTTCATCCTTCGGGTCACAGTGTCACCTCTTCACTGGAGACTTTCCTAATTAATGAATCTACGTAAGCTTCTCTTATCTCTATTCTAGCACCTTAATTGCTTCCATCTTAGCATGCCACATTTTATATCTATTTAGGTGTTTTTTTATTTTCTCTCTCTTCTATTTAGATTGTCAAATCAAAGAGAATATGGATTTTCTTTTTTTCTCCTTTTTTCTTAATTATACTTTAAATTCTGGGGTACATGTGCAGAACATGCAGTTTTGTTGCATAGATATACACGTGCCATGGTGGTTTGCTGCACCCATCAACCCATCACCTACATTAGGTATTTCTCCTAATGCTATTCCTCCCCCAGCCCCACACTCCCCGACAGGCCGCAGTGTGTGATGCTTGCCTCCCTGTGTCCATGTGTTCTCATTGTTCATCTCCCACTTATGAGTGAGAACATGCAGTGTTTGATTTTCTGTTCTTGTGTTAGTTCTTTCATTTGTACCACCCGCAGCTGAAACCGTCAGTGCTGCACCCAGGTGCCCTCTCCTTTACTGCTGCACACCTGACAGGCTTCCAGCTCCCAGCATTGCATTTCTTTGCTTGAGGACTTACTTTGGTTTCTGGAAGCTGACTCTCTCTGCTGTGCTTTGGGCCTGAAATACTAGGGAGGAAGTAGCTTTTAACCAATCACTGACAGAAATTAATGTGTAAATGCCCAGGTTCCCTCACCCTCCAACATCTCCAATGTTGGCTGGCTTGATAATGCATCTTTTATTTGCTAATTCTCCTTCTTTGTCTAATTTCATCACTCTCTGACCAGTGTTTTCTGTACCTCCTAAGTAAACAATGTATACTCAAATCACATGTGGGGAAAGCTTCTGGCACAATGCTTTACACACATAGGCATACAGTAAGTATTTGTTGGATGGATAGATGGATGGGTAGGGGTGGATGGATGGATGGATGGATGGTTGGATAGATGAAGATTGCAATGTGGAGTTCAAGGTTGGATATGGTGTAAGAATTCAAATGATTGACAAAACAAAAAACAAACAACAACAACAACAAAAAACCCAAAGATGCTGTTAGCTCTTTCTAATTAATGCTGTTGCCTCACAAAAAAATATAGCACATTGAAGGTGTAGGTATATCAGTTTACAGATAATCTAATATGGAAATTTTAAAAGCTATGGTTTTCTTTAGGACCATTGTACAATGCTTGATGATTTTATGGATGCCTGTCTTATGAGCAGTTTTTACATTCCTTGTTTTATTACAGTACTGTATTTACCTAAAGTATTAAAATGTGCTATGCAAACTCATAAATAAAGTTCAACTTGAACTTCACTTAATTTAGGTGAGGTTAATGGTCCAAACAATCAGCTTTCAGAAATATATCTAGAAGTGAGAATTAGGTTGTGAAATCAGATGGTGAGATTTAGAGGCACAGAAAACAGTGTTAACAAAAAGGGAATGCAGTCACAGAGTGTGATGTAAAAGATATGTAGTGTGAAAAGTACTAAGACGTTTATCGGTATTATTATTGTGTCACTGGACAAGTTCACAGAGCTATTTTGGGGATGACTAGAGCTTCTGAATCAGAGCTCATTTCTGTTTTCAGAAGATTATGAATATGGAGACTATGCCAGACTGTGAGCTTCTTGAAGGCAGGAACATCAAAGTCTGCATCATCTTTTATATTCCTAGCAGGGTCCGTGCATGGCACGTAAGTGATCTTGAATGCAGGAAAAGCATGAGTGGTTGGCCCAACTGGCTATTACAATTAGTGTTGTTTTCACATGTAAAACAATTCATATGAACTAGTAAATCATTCATCACTAAGTAAAGCATTCCTCAAATCACAAAAGATTATTAAAAAAATTGAATTCTGGCATTCCAGGCTATTAGTGTTAGCCTTACTCACTGAAAAATTAAAGATAGTGGGTCTAAATTCCTGTAAATCTGTACAAGCTTTCTGTAAGGAAATATTAATATAATGATGGTGGTGGAAAAATACTTGTGTTTAAACAAGAATTACTCGAGAAACCCAATTAAACATGCAGATTGAAAATATTGTTCAGAATTAATTTCCAGAAAAAATTTAACTTCTCTTGATGAACTGGCTTGCTTTTTCTTCATGAGTACTGAGAATCCTGCAATTTTTTTTTCTTTTAAAATTTTGGCTACCAAAGCACTCAGAACTTAATTTACAACTCAATTTTTCTAACTTTTTGGGAATTTATGATGTTTATATCTATCTTCTAAATTTCTTCTGGTCTTTAAAATTTATTCTGATTTTTCTTTTTCCTGGTCCTGGTGTTGTTTTTGTATTGCTTGTATTTTTCTTTCTTACTTTATGTATTTTTCATGACATGTCAAGCTTTTTGTGGAAAATGGAGAAATCAATGCTCCATATGTAAACGTATATATTTTGATTAGATTGCTATTCTTCTTTTATTCAAGGCCAAGTGTTTGTGAAGAACAGCAAGTGACTGTGGTTGGACTTGCACACCCATGTGTTTGGGCATTCACACACATTGTCAAGCTCTGCAAACAAGGCTGTACTGGCTCAAGTTGGTATGTGAGCTATGAAAGAAGGTAAGAGTGCTTCTGTACTCTTTGATTATTGAAAATCAACACCAAACACCTCAAATGCACCTACATATTCATCCAATAAATTTTATGCTCATTAAGTAAATGTGCATAAGATGTGGCCACCAAGAACATTTAGAGTTATATATTTTTCTTCAGAGACAAGATATATTATTACTTTAGACCTCATTTATGTCTGAGGTATTTTGGGTTAGATGCCACTAATTTTACCTCATGGCATGGTGTACCATTGAAAGCTAAAGATCAGAAAACTGACAGAAACAAGGAATATTGTGTTGGTTTGCTAAATTTAGCACGACTTGGATCCAGGGGATCTACAGTTGTGAACCAATGTCTGACCTGCCCTTGGTACTCTTGTAACACTTTGAAACCTAGAGCTTCTTTAACTTTTTTATGGCCTTTGAATTAGGATTAACTCGGCGGGCTAGAAGAGGAGAGAAAAAGCAAGTGTCCACAATGCTTTCTAGGCGTCAAGGCTTCATGCAGACTTTTTTTTCCCTTCAAAGTTTTGAAATAGTTTTACAAAATATCTAAGAACCTCTTAACACAAATAGTTGATGATGGGTTAAGGATCAAAATTCAGGATACTTAATGTTAAAAAAAGGTGTGGTTTCAGATTGACAAAGAATTTATAATTACTACTATTATTGCTAACACAAAGTTGGGGACATTTATAAATAACTGGGTTTGCCATTGTATAAAAATATTGGATCACTAATAATATAGGACTAAATAAAATATAAGACTAAATAATTTATAATTGTGGATGTTTACATATGCATTGTGTGTGTGTGGGGGGGTGTATGTTGAACCTTTAGATGAATAGTTTTTGTTTTTCGTCTAAACTCAGGAATTTTGTGGGGTATTTTTAGAGATAGGGCCTTGCTCTGTTACCCAGGCTGGAGTATGGTGCCATAATCATAGCTCACTGCAGTCTCAAACACCTGGGCTCAAGTGATCCTTCCACCTCAGCTTCCTGAGTAGCCGGGACTAAAGGTGTGTGCCACTGTGCGCAGTTAATTTTTTAATTTTTATTTTTGTAGAGACAGGGGTCTTGCTATATTGTCCAGGCTCATTTCGAACTCCTGGCTTCAGATGATCCTCCCAGCCTTTGCTGGGGTTATAGGTATGAGCAACTACACTAGGCCAACTCAGAACTTTTAATGGTGTTTAAATCAGAAAATTTCCCCTGGCTCTTCACAGCTGTGTGGCCTTAGGCTAAGTTCCTACATTTCTCTGTGTCTTAGTTGTAGTGTTAAAAAAAATGCTGTACATGGCTATTATGAAGATTAATTGATTAAATCTTCATAGATAAGATTTAACACGTGGCACAATGCTTGGTACACAGTAGGTACTCAATATGTGTTAGATAGTATAATGCTGTAGCAGAAAAATTTATTTTCAAAGAAATTAGAATGGAAATCCTATTTATAGGGTATATGACGTGTTCATTAGAGTACTTGTTTTGAAAATGGCTTTTTATTTAGACTTTTTGTACTCCCCCCCATGAGTTTTAATCTTTGTTGGTAATGGACCGAATCAAATAAAATTCATTACCTTATAGATACTTGGGAAAACAAATATAAATTAGTAAAACAGGTTTTATAGTTTTATTCTTAAGAGATTAGTAGTTTTGCACATTCTGTGTATGATACTGAGTTTGGAGTAGAGGCAGTGTTTGAAGATGTTCAGCATCTTTGCCATGCTCATATCTGTTTTGTTTGCATGTAAGTATACAAACTTATACTTAAGTCCTGATTGAAGAGACGCGTGAACAAAATATTAGGTTACAATTCTAGATGGTGAATAATTGTCATAAAAATGGTACAGCCAGTGAGTCCAATTTTTGAGAAAAGAGAAAGAGCAATCTACATTGGCTTGGTAGGAAAAGAGAAGTTAGAGGAAGTGGAACTTGAAATTGACCTTGAATAATGAAAGCAATTTGGACTAGAAATATAGGGGTGGCATATGAAAGGGAGAGAATATGTTAGTACTTTTGGAATAAAAAAAAATTTAAAAATGACATCAACTTGACAGAAAGGAAATCAGCCTGTCTGGAGATATTTGGTATTATGATCTGCTGATAGGTCAGCAAAAATAACTCAGTGTTTTCAAACTTTGGTTTAGTATTCCCCCCTAAAGAGCCTTTTTAAACAATTTTTTTCCCTGAAGCTTCCTTCTGCACCATGAAATTTTAACATTACACATATTCTTTATATCCATTTATGTACTGTGTTCCTTTGTAAGGTCACACACCATTGTATCAACTAAGATTCTTTTCATCCCCCACTCATAACAATAACTAATTGTCACCTTCTTGTGGGTGATATTAATACGGTTGAGAGTGCATGCCGTAGTGGAGCCAACCTATGAGGAGCTTTCAATATCAAATTGAAAAGCATGTACCTCATTATCTTTCAAGATTTCATTATTCTTATCATAATTTTGGGTTTTATTCTTGATAGCTTGAGCAATCCTTAGGATATTTTATACCATGGGATATGGGGGTCCCTCTTGGTTTTCATTAACCTATACCTATAATGAATCTGAATTGCATATGGAGTGAGGTATGTATGTGTGTGTGTGTGTATAATATGTACAAATTATACACTATATGCACATTGGTACATTTATCTATATATACACATACACCTATCTCTCTGTCTATAAACACAAATATATATGGCAGGATTTGAATTGGAGAGAGAAATTTCTAATGGATTTGAGATAGCTCTGCCTTAAGAGGGAGCACTATATCTCCCTAATTTAGATCCCTGTATTTGTTAGGCCCGGTACTACACCATCTATGGACAGGTGTACAACATGGAGCAGCAGCCTGTCTACTGGTGCTGCCCTGTTTGGAACCAGTGGGATGATGAACTGGGATGCCTACACTGTAAATTATAATTCTTCTTGTCTAACTCTGTTACGAGAAGGAATGATTTCACTTTGTTTTTGACTTCAATCATACTTGTCAAGTTTTTCCGCATCTTTAGTATCACTGCAGATTCAGAGCATCTCTTTGAACTGAAAATTCACACATGATGTGCAAAAATGCACAAAAAACTTTTCTGTTAAGTGTTTCTAATGATAGGTCACAACGCAGGACCCATGAAAGTGCTGCTTTATATTCTCTCTTTATTTAAAAGACAGTTGATTTAAAACCAGACAGTTTACACCTTGACTTCCATCTCCTTTTTCTGTTTGCCCCTTTCCCATATCATCAAATTTGTAATCCACAGTTGATTCAAAAGTCTGGAGGGAAATCATCGTACTAAATCTAAATGGGATTTCTCAACTTACGCTTGTCATGATTAATTGCAGAACACTGGAGGCAGTTTACTTTTTAAGATGAGGTATGCAATCCTTTAACAAACCTCTGGTGAGAGTATTTCAGAACCTTTGGAGTGTGTTTGACAGCACTCAAGTAGCAGAACTAGTGGCATTATATAGTTTATTCACACCAGGAGAAATGGTTCAGTTTAGCAAACTCCTTTACCTATATTATGTATTTATGGTTATTGCAAAGTCACTTAAAATGCTTCAGTGTGTTGCAATCAATGCAGCACCACAGCACAACAATTCATCTCTCTTGCTATTCTGTACCTTGGGGAGTTTGTTGGCGTCCTGTTTCCTTCCCCAGTGTGCTTTCTGCCCTTGAAACATCTTAGTGAAGTTATCACAGGCTTCCCATGTTAAGCAGGTTTAGTGGTGAGGGGTGCACCAAGGGTCACTGTGTATTTGCATGCAGTGCTAGGCCACGGCCACTGCTTTAAGCTTATTGAAAACATCTGTTCACGGTGTTATTAGCTTAAACTGGTTAAACCTCAGTGAAAACATCTTCCCATGATGTCATCTTAACTATGTTATAAACTCCTGGAAATTAATGACTATGAGATGAATTCTTTTTTTTTTTTTTTTTTGAGACGGAGTCTCGCTCTGTTGCCCAGGCTGGAGTGCAGTGGCGCGATCTCGGCTCACTGCAAGCTCCGCTTCCCGGGTTCACGCCATTCTCCTGCCTCAGCCTCCCGAGTAGCTGGGACTACAGGCGCCCGCTACCACGCCCGGCTAATTTTTTGTATTTTTAGTAGAGACGGGGTTTCACCGTGTTAGCCAGGATGGTCTCGATCTCCTGACCTCGTGATCCGCCCACCTCGGCCTCCCAAAGTGCTGGGATTACAGGCGTGAGCCACCGCGCCCGGCCGAGATGAATTCTTTATATTGTTGTATGACACCTATTAGTCCTTATTAGCATTTTTTGTTTGATTTTTAGATTGTTTTGACTACACATTATTATACATAGAATTTTTTTAGACCAATATTTCTGAAATTTGAATGTGAATACAGATCATCTGGAATCTTGTTAAAATATGGACTCCATATTAGGTCTGGGGTGGGCCTGAGTTCTGCATTTTTACAAGCTTGGAGGTGATACAGTTGCTTCCGCACAGAGTTCTGCAAGGTTTTAGACAGTAAGGCCTTAACTCATAATGAAAACATTGTTTAACCTTGCTGTGGAAGTGTTGGTGGAAATTTCTAGATTGGTGCCTATAGTGATGATTTTTTTTCTTTCTCTCAACTCTATTCTCCCCACTCCTCATTCAACCTTCTTTTAGCTATCGCTGCAGTGGGAACTTGTTTCAATGGAAGAAAATGCTCAGATGGTGAAGGCCAGTAGTGCCAGTGTTCAGAGGGATTTCATGGACCCCACTGTCAATAACAGTGAGTCACCAACAAGACAATTTTATTATGATTTGGTGCTGTTTGCTTTGCTTTTAGGGGCCAGCCAAATTTGTCAATTCAGACTAATGGTTAGGTCCTTGGCGGGGTTGGTGAGCATTTAAAATTAGCCACTGAGGAAAACCTCTAGCTTATAGTGTAATCAGGCATCACAAAATATGCTTTGTAGTTTAGTTTTAACGATTCACCATTAGAGTTCAAAGGGGAGCAGTAAGTACAAAACACTTCATTTTGTAAAGGAAATGGAAGCTTAATAATAAGTAAACCTCATTCTGACCTCAGATGTTAGATCCTTCATGGAGCCATAGTTTGAAATTGCTGGTACGGTTTCTCTGAGATCTCTGTGGTATGTGAATGCACAAAATATAATTAACATGAAGTTGTTGTTAATAAATTCAATGAATTTATTAACAATAAATTTATTAGTAAATTTATAAGTAAACTAACTTATTAGTAGATTTACTACGTTCATGCCATTTATTTAAAAAACAAAAACAAAATACCTGAAACTTGCATGATTATCAAAGTTCCAATACTTCATAACCTAGTTTTCAAGGTTGGAACTTTATCAACTGTCAATTGTGGACAGGTACATTTAAGGTGTTTCTTGTGCAGGAAGTTTCCCGGATGGCCAATAATTTATCCTTTACTGCATCTGTCATAAGACTGGGTGATTTCAAAAGGCTTTGTTTTGACTTACTCATCAGATTCTAGTCTCCAGAGAATGAGAATACATCTGTATTTATCTTTTCAGAGCAGGAAAAACAAAATAAAACCTATCTTATAGAAGTTAAAGAAATAGATACGAAAAGCTAACCAAAATATTGCTTTCATTATCTTCTGCTGACATGTTTGCTTTCTCGTATCCATTACTTGAATCTTTGTAAGTGAAATTGGAAGGTTGCTGAGAGCTCATCACTCATGTCCATTTGTCTCCTCTGCCCTTGGCATAAGGTTAAGACTCAGGTTTTCCATGGTGACCTCAGAGCTATTCTTCTAAATTAATCCTGATAATCTCTTTGGGTTGCTTGCTAGTTTTTGCTTTTTTTTTTTAAACAAAATTGTGAATTAAAATAAAGCTGATTTTTAACCTCAATTTATTCTTTGACTATGGAATACTGATTCTGAAAGAGGTTAGTGGATGCTTTGAGCTCTAAGGTATACTTTCCACTATTTTCATTATTTTTAAGAAGCTAACAAAAATCATACATTGATCCATGTTAACAAATTGTTTGCCTTTAAATAAAGTATTTCAACTACATGTGCAACACTGGTTCCCTTATCTTGATCAATAGCTGTAATGGGCAATTACACATATCACTGATTCATTAGGACTTTAAAAAATTAATTATTACTTTATAAATTCATTTGTTTTGGTAGAGCACATCTTGCAAAATATCAAGTCCTGGAGGGGAAAGGTAATTAAAGAGGCATATGGTAATGATAAAGGCCTAGAAATTATACCTGGATTTATTTATTCTTTATTTCCTACACTAGTAGTCAGATATTTTCATTATTCCATTTCTTAACACTTTGTGTACCAAAGTAATTAAAATGTTTTTTGAAATTCAGGTAGCTAGTATTCTTATTTTTCAGTTTTGGGTTGGTGAAAATACTAGATTATTCGAGACATATTAGTGTTTCTTTTCCCCAAGTTTGTTTGTATACCCTAAAATTCCGGAAGTCATGAGAGAAGACCAATGATACAAAACACCTTTCAGGACTCTGCATTGCATTTTGCATATTGTTGTTGCCCAAGTGTGTTTACCTTTAGATTTTGGCAATATTTCTTCTTTTAGTGTAGCTCTCCTATTGAATTTAAAAAGAAATCGATGATATACAAAAGAAATTGGTGATACATTCTGAGGGATATATTACAACAATAGGAATTCAGACATTTCCTACATGGTATTGCATTTCACCTGTCAAAATGAGATATCAAAAAGTATGTAAATTTCAGAGGTTTTTATGAATGAATTTTGAAGACTTCTTAGGAAATCATTCAAACATTTGGGAAACAAGTGAGGAACCGAGTTAAGAAATGACATTAGTTGAATCTTGAAAGAAAATTAAAAATTAAAATCAGCAAAGACTTTAAAAAATTATTATAGTTGTTAGAATATGTAGTCTATCAAACAAGTTGATTATAGTCTGGTGGTACTGCCTATAACCTAGCTCTTATTTCAGTGGCTGGATTTGAGTTCTGATATATGAGTACATAATCCTCGGTCTGGTCTCGTTCTCTCTCTCTGTATATATATATATATATGTGTATGTCTGTGTGTGTGTATGTGTATTTATGTGTGTATATATATATACACACACACACATAGTATATATAATCACAATGAGAATAATTTTAATTTTGTGTTTCAAATCATATAAATAATAATTGAGGCAATAAAAATAATTTAAATCAAACAATTTTAAATTATGAAAAAGCCTATTATATGCAATAAAAGACAGTAAAAATGTACAGTCCTATCACTTTCAGATAACTGTGGTGGTCATCCTTTTATGCCCATTTATATTCATACACACATAAAATATTACATAAATTAGTTCATATCCTATATACTGTTTTGTCATGAATGTTCATGTTTTTTTTCTTACCTTCCCTTTTCTTCCCTTCTTTTCCCCTCAAACTTCTCCTATGCCCAGTAACCAACCTGTTGAACACTCTTGTATCTTTCTCTGAGCCTATGTAATCATATACAAACAGATGCACATTTCATATCAATGTACCACAGATTTTTGACCACCTATTTATTGATGGATATGTATTTTGTTTTCAGTTTTTTCGCACAATAATCAATGTTGCAATAATGTGGTGTTTTACATTTTGTGAGACAAATTTCTAGCAGTGGGATTGTTAGTGTGAATGCATATGTGTATTTTTCATTTTAATATGCTGCACTTAAGCATCAAAATATTCCTTTAAATTATTTGTAAGATGTTTTATGGACCATGGTAATGGCTTTACTAGTTTATTTGGTTGGGATGGATTAAAATCTAGGTAAATCCCAATTATTTACTTATTTTTAATATGCTAATATAATGAGGAATCACTGCATCTTCATCCAAATCCAGGGATGTGTCACATTAAATTATCTAGGGTCAGGATTATTGTAAACATGGATTGCTCTTATTATTGGGTAAACTTGACTTTATTTGAGATACATAGAAAAAAGAAGTCTGGAAAATAAACCGGATGGCCTTTTAAAAATGGAGAAAAGACTCTAGTCCTAGAGAGAGAAGGGCCATGCTAATAACTGAGATAAGTGCTTGAAGTTAATAATGATTCTAAAATTGCTGATCTGCTTAACTCATTTGAAAAATCTGCCTCTAATAAGGAAAAATGAAGAAAATGAATTTGGACAATTAGGAAGTAATGAAGAGCTTTCTAAAATAGCTATTGATTAAAGGAATCAAAAGAAATACTTTGAAGATTTGAACACATGCAAATCAGGCTAGATGGCTGGTGGTGAAATTTTCTTTTTTATTTTTACGGATCCAGGCAGAACAACGTGGAGCTTCATTAACTGGTTAATATCACACACAAAGTCACACCTCTTCTCATCACTTATTCAGTTTTCCTTTTCTCTCTTCAGAAGTCAAGTTAAATAATAATGTGCCTGGCCAGGCGTGGTGGCTCACGCCTGTAATTCCAACACTTTGGGAGGCCGAGGTGGGTGGATCACGAAGTCAGGAGATTGAGACCACCCTGGCTTACATGGTGAAACCCTGTCTCTAGTAAAAATACAAAAAAATTAGCTGGGCGTGGTGGTGGGCGCCTGTAGTCCCAGCTACTTGGGAGGCTGAGGCAGGAGAATGGCGTGAACCCAGGAGGCGGAGCTTGCAGTGACCAGAGATTGCGCCACTGCACTCCAGCTTGGGCAACAGAGCGATTCCGTCTCAAAAAAAAAAAAACAATGTGCCTAATGGTTGGATTCTAAGACTCTGAGGTCTTGTTTCTTTTTTTCTTTTATTCTTTATTGTAATTTTTTATTCATCTATTCAATCTTCCTATTAGTCTTCCAATTAGTTATTAAATATTTATATACCAGGCTGTGTGCTAGGTACTTCAGAGACCAAAACAAATAAGGTATCCTTAATGTAGTGGGAAATAGAGAGCAGGAAACCAGTGATTATGATATAGCCCACAAATAGTATGATGGAGAGAGTTCATCTATGTCGTATTGGGAGGTGATAGAAGGTTTCTCAAAAGATTTGAAAATACAAACTACAAGTAATTCCTAAACATGAGCAGAACAAGAATATGAAATTGGTAAGAGAGAATGGTATATTGCCCAGAGACATAAAATAGCTCATCCAGTTCAAGGAATAATAACAATAATACTGGCTGGGTGCAGTAGCTCACACCTGTAATCCCAGCACTTTGGGAGGCAGAGGCGGGCAGATCATGAGGTCAGGAGTTCGAGACCAGCCTGACCAATGTGGTAAAACCCCGTCTTTACTAAAAATACAAAAATTAGCCAGACGCGGTGGCGGGCGCCTGTAATCCCAGCTACTAAGGAGGCTGAGGCAGGAGAATCACTTGGAACTGGAAGGCAGGGGTTGCAGTGAGCCGAAATCGTGCCACTGCACTCCATCATGGGTAACAAGAGCGAAACTCCGTCTCAAAAAAAAAAAAAATAACACTAATAATACTAGTAGTAGTTCTCTTGACTGCACTAGGAGATTCATGTGGGGCTTGACAAAAAAAAAAAATAATAAAAATAGAACTTTTTTAAAGTCCAAGGCCAGCAATTCCTTAGCCTTTCTTGGTCCAGCCAGACCAGCTATTTCAGAACATTATGCAGAGGTGCCTGAGGGATTCTGCAAGGACTTTCCTTCCCTAAGTCCAGTTCTCTGAACAGGAAGTCCTGCAGTTGGAGTATCTTGAGCATTCAACAGTGTATTTGTTCATTCTCATGCTGCTGTGAAGAAATACCCGAAACCGGGTAATTTAAAAAGAAAAGAGGTTTAATTGACTCACAACTCCGCATGGCTGGGAGGCTTCAGGAAACTTACAATCATGGCAGAAGGCACTTCTTCACAGAGCAGCAGGAGAGAAAATGAGTGCTGAGTGAAGGGGAAGCCCCTTATGGAACCATCAGATCTTCTGAGAACTCACTCACTATCACGAGAACAACATGGCAGAAACCGCCCCCCATGATTCAATTATCTCCACCTGATCCTGCCCTTGACACATGGGGATTATTACAATTCAAGGTGAGATTTGGGTGAGGACATAGAGCTAAACCACACCAAACAGTACTGTTTGGTACTCTACTCTTATGCCTATGGCAGAGTCCCCAAATGTCTCTGTTACTTCAAAGCGTGATACTTATGTACATTAAAAATGGGATATTGCTGGAATGCTGTCTGATGACATGAAAAGTCCTCAGGAGTTCTGGGGTTGAGTTCGGGTCTCACCAATGACCACCTGCATTATCTTGGAGAAGTTATTTTATATCCCTAGCTTCAGTATCATCATTTATAAAATAATAGCTTTAATTTTTCTGAGCACTGACTATGTACCAGATACTATTTTAAATGATTTGCCTGTAATACATTATTGTTACAGCTAGTTTATGTGATGAATATTCTTACTTGCCCCGCTTTTGTACCCACCCAAGGCATGCAAATTGTTCACAGTCAAACAGCTAGAAAGAAAGGGATCTGGATCCATATCAATATATTCGGGCCCCAGAGCCTGCAAAGCCATCCATGATGACTTTATAATAATTTCTGACATAATCTTCTGTCTTCCAGATCGTTATTTATGAGGGTTGTATGAGATACCACATGTGACTTCTAAGCTAGAAAGCATTATCTAAGCATTGCTTCTTGTTCATTGCAAATTCTCTGAGAATCACAAATGAAGTACAGAAAGTAAGAGAAGAAGGACCCCACTGCTGCTTTGTTTCCCACTGTGTGGGAAATCTGAACAAACCTTGAGTTTTGGGTCACAAGTATGACTTTGAGCCAACCAGTAGGTTCTAGTCAAGGAATCTAGTAGGCTTTCTGCAGGATCCATCTGTTCTGTGCAGAAAGAATGTTTGGTCAAAGGATCTTCTTAAAATGACATGTCTCCAAGAGCACTGTTAATTTGGGATGTGTTATGGGTTGAGTCCTGTTCCCCCAAAATTCATATGTTGAAGTCCTAACCCCCAGTACCTCAGAATGTGACCTCATTTGGAAACAGAGTTGTGGAAGATATAATTACTTAAGATGAGGTTGTACTGGAGTAGGGTGGGCCCTGAATCCAGTATGACTGGTCTCCTTATAAGGAGGGAAAATTTGGATACAGAGGCATGCCGACAGCGAGAATGCCATGAGAAGATGAAGGCACAGATCAGGATGATGCAGCCGCAAACCAAGGAATGCCAAAGATTGCCATCAAACCACCAGAAGCTAGGTGATAGGAATGGAAAATTTTCCCTCATAGTGCTCAGAAAGGACCAACCATGCTGACACCTTGATTTTAGACTTCTAGCCTTCAGAACTGTGAGACAGTATATTTCTGTTGCTTAACCCACTCGCTTTATGGTAATTTGTTATGGCAAACAGATATAGGATGTTGAGAAAACATATTCTCCTTATTCGCAGCTTCATTTCAGCAGTTGGCCTATTGAAACAATGAAAATGGGAAGAAAATGGCAGGGGGTTTATAAAGAGCAAATTATGCTAAGAAAACTTGATGGCTTACTTTAATTGAATTATAATATTAGTGTGAGAAGGAGAGTTAATTTAGAAAAAATGCAAAAATCATTAATTGAACAAGCTTATGAATCTGCAATCCTAAATGAGCGTTACTAGGAGATACTATGAAGTGAAATGCAGCTTTTAACAGGTTGAACATTTCTTTCTTTCTTTTTTTTTTTTGAGGTGGAGTCTCACTCTGTTGCCCAGGCTGGAGTACAGTGGTGCAATCTCGGCTCCCTGCAACCTCCACCTCCCAGGTTCAAGTGACTCTCCTGCCTCAGCCTCCTGAGTAGCTGGGAATATAGGTGCGCCACCACACCTGGCCAATTTTTGCATTTTTAGTAGAGACTGGGTTTCACCATGTTGGCCAGGCTGGTCTCGAACTCCTGACCTCATGATCCTTCCACTTCGGCCTCCCAAAGTGCTGGGATTACAGAAGTGAGCCACCGTGCCCGGCCCAGGTTGAACATTTCTAATTAGAAAATCTGAAATCTCTAATGCCCCAAAATCTGAAACTTTTTGAGTACTGACATGATGCCACAAGTTACACTGAACCCATTATTTTTTCACTTTATTAATGATATGTTGTATTTTTTACTGTTAAGTACTTATGTGTGAATAATTTAAGAAAATTACTTATGGGTAGCGTATAAATTCAGTCAGGAATGATGATGGTGCCAAACAACCACAGATTGTCCCCAAGAGTGGTTGAGATAGTGACACTTTGCTTTGTGATAGTTCAATGTACACAAACTTTTTTAATCCAAAAAGTTATTGAAAATCTTATGTAAAATTACCTTCAGATTACATGTATAAGGTGTATATAAAACATAAATGAATTTTATGTTTAGACTTGATATTTCATTATGTATGTATAAATATTCATCCCCATCCCAAGATAATTATGTATGTGTAAATATTCCAAAATCCTAGAAAATATATTTCATTATGTATATGTAAATGCTCTAAAATCCCCCCAAAATCTGAAATTGGAAACACTTCTGATCCCAAGCATTTTGGATAAGGGATACTCAACCTGTATCATCTAGATATATTGATATATGTTCTTAGCGTGAGCTGACAGTGTTAAATCCAGTGTTACTTTGTTCATCACATAAGGATGCATTGGATTAGAGCTCCTATCAGGGTTGTAGCAAGTCTATAATAAGGCAACTATATTCTGCTTTATGTAACTTGACAGAAAGTATGGCAGATTGATGGGAATTGGAGCAAACATAAAAAAGGGATGGATAGACTGTTTATGAGGAAGTGGAGTAGTAACTATCTGACATCTTCCTGTGTGCCCAGTAAAGGAGCATCCTGTCATTTAGAATCTACGCAGAAGATTTACTTCCCTGACATTGATTTGAAAATAGAAGCTTTGGAAGTGTTTTTACTAACACACTCTTTTAGGTATACTTTGCATGGCCAGTGTTAGCACCATGAGAAGTAGTTTAAAAAAGACTTCATGAGAATTCCCTGATATTGCAAATATGATAACTTTAGAGAATGACCTAGCACTATCCAGGGTAATTTGATTCTACACAGTATAATGGGTGGTGAACTAGAACATGTTTAATGTGGATGATAGTGACACTAGTAGCTAACTCATAAATCATGCTTTCTACATGCTAAGTACTGTCCTAAGCGCTTTACACGTTGGCTTATTTAATATTTAGAACAACCCATAATGTAAGTGCTGTTAATAGTCTTCTTTTACAGATGACATGCTGAGGTGAAGAGAAGTTAAGTAACTTATCTGAGATCATACAGGTGGCAAATGATGAAGCCAAGGTGTGAAGTCAGGCAATCTGGCTCCCAAGTTCATCCTTGCAACCACTGTGCAATGCTGTTTCATTAACATGGAAGAACGTGTTTGTTATGAAAAACAAAACTGATATCATTTCTCTGAAAGGGATATAAGAGATTTTATACTTTATTTTTAGTGTTTGAACCCAGTCAGTATTCTTAGGAAACAGTATTCCTGTAGAAAGTATGAGCTAAATGATTATCTTCATTTAAACTTTTGCTCATTATACATACACATCATTGAGTGATTATTTAGGACCTGTGTAAGGTGTACCTAACTCCAGTATTGAAAAGCCTAAATTCCCGTTATGGGGACAGGAAAACAAATTGTAAAGTGATGAATGGCATTTCAGGAATACATTCAGCTTGACACAGGAACGAGGTCGTGGTGGGGAACGGGACTTGCCAAGTTGTGGCTCATATAGCTGGATGTTAATATTATGACACACATTATTGCCATGCCAAATAGTTTGGATCTCAACTCCTTGTATGTGTAATGCCACTGAAGATTTTAAGTATATTTTAAAGATGTAGCTGTAATAGAATAGAAAGGGGATGAAGTCCCAAAGGAAAAGAAAATGTTATATAATTCAAATGGCCAAATCTAGCATGTATAGTAGTCACTCCTTATTCAAGGGGGATACATTCCAAGACCCTCAGTGGGTGCCTGAAACCACCGATAGTACTGAACCCTATATATATATATATATATATACACACACACACACACACACACTATGTTTTTTCCTATAAATGATGCATACCTAGGATAAAGTTTAATTTATAAATTAGGTACAGTAAGAGATTAAAAATAACATATTAAAATACAACAATTAATATACCAGAATAAAAGTTATGTGATTGTGGTCTCTGTTTCTAAATATCTCTGAAAGATATTTGGGATTAAATATTATACTGCACTTACCCTTTCACTTCCTGCGATGATGTAAAATGATAAAATGCTTATGTGCTAAGATGAAGTGAGATGAATGACTGTGGCCTTAGCTTTTGCAGTTAGAGGTGCAAGAACAAAACTAGCACAAATTTCTTCTTCCTTCTTCCTAGTTTCACAGAAGATTCATTCTTACTGTAGATCTTAGCAACCTCGGTATATGATTTTTCTTTCTTTCCTTAAGTCAAAAAATCTCACCTTTTACTTAGATGAAGCACTTTATGATGTCACTTCAGCATATTTAAATTGCCAGCATCACTACTCTTGCACCTTGGGGACATTATTAAGTAAAAGAAGGGTTACTTGAACACAAGCACTGAGATACCATGACAGAAGATCTGTTAGGAGAGATGCCTATTAAGTGACCAATGGACAGGTAGTAAATATCGTGTGGATACACTGGATGATTCCTGTCTCAAGCAGAATGAAGAGGACTGGCATGTGATTTCATCATGCTACTCAGAATGCTGTGTAATTTAAAATTTATAAATTGTTTATTTTTGGAATTTTCCATTTAATATTTTCAGACCTCAGTTGACTGCGGGTAACTGAAACCTCAGAAAGTGCAATGTTGTTGCTTGCAGCCAACAGTTTTTCTTTTCTTGCTTGTTTTTTTGGTGTTCAAAAATCAAACTTCTCCTGTTCTATGAGGTACAAAATAAGATTTTAAAATACCCTTTTTAGTTTGTCAACTGCAAATTTAAATCTCATTTTCTCTTAAAGGAACTTGATAAAAAGTTTGAAATGAAATTCTGAGTAAGAAAGGTAATGTGCTTTTACTGCAGAAGCCAATATTCTGCACTTGCTATTTCTTGTAATAATATATCTTCCTTGCCATTTGAATTTGAAGTATATGATACCTGTGTGCACTTGTGTGCTTGTGCAATTTTACTCATTCTTATTTATTTCTGGGTATTGTGCACCAGAAATACACTAACAATATTACCAACAACAAAGACCATTGTGATTTATCACTTGGTTTGGTAGGGGTAATTTCACTTATTAGTTATTTTTGTAACTAAATTCCTTATTTTTTCATAAAAGCCTACTAATAATGGTTGTAGCTATAATGGAACATTCTACTATTCTCTATTGGAGTTTAGGCTAGTCAATGTTAGAAACTACGAACATGATAATCAATCATTAAAATTCCCTTAAGTGATTAGAGTATTTTATGTTGGGTAAAGAAGATGAAACTTGCTCCCAAAGTTCTCTGCTCTCAGGTCAGTCTGGTGAGTCTGGCATTTGAAGGGTAGAGGTAGAAGATAGGAGGAAGCAGCTGATGGGCCTGCCACCAATGGGTTATTTTTCAGATAGGAGGGTCCTAGGAACCCAGATAACCTGGTCAGACTTTTTTGAGGGTAATTTAATAATACACTTCCTGAGAGAGGCAAATTAGAAGAACAGAGAAGACAAAGCCAAAAATTGAATCCTACATAAGACAAAGGGAGGAGAGTAGTGACAGTCAAGAGAATAGAGAAACTCAAAAGATATTAAAGGTACAAATGTAGCTGCACAGGTTAGGATCTCGGTCTCAACAGGAGCTGGACACTCTATTGGTCAAGAACAGTAAAAAGTTGGATGTGCAGGACATGATGCATTATTATTATATATTTTTGAACATGAATAATCTGCTCTAATGTACTATATTTCTCAAAATTTATTCTCTGGATCGCTGCTTCCGTTGTATTTTAAGAAGTGTTACATGAAGTAAAGTTTTTGTGTTCAAATAAGTTTGGAAAATGCTTTGTTAAGTAACCTAACATACTATTCATTCTTGTAAGGACTTTCCAGAGTCTTTAATATGCTAATGTATATTTTTACTCCCATAGAAGGGCATATAGATTTCTGTGTATTCAAACCCATTTGACTCTGTAGCCTTTCTAATGGGGATATCTTGAGTATTATTATTTCATATAGGACCAACATGCTCTGGAGAATACACACACACACACACACACCTATACATATTATATGTAATATACACATTATATATCATAGCTCTTAAATTATTATATGCATATATAATTATAAATTTTTTTCAAAATGCTCAACTAATAGTAACATATATGTATAGTAGTTAAAAAAAAAACATTTAACAAGGTGCTTTCCTGTATGTTACCTCATTTAAGCTCACACCCACTCTGTGAGGGAGCTCATATTCTCAAATTAGAGATGAGGTAACAGAGACCCAGAAAGCTTAATTGATTTGGCCAAGTCACAGCTTGTGAGTAGCTGAGCCAAGACTTCAACTAAGATCTTTAACTCTAATGATTTATGGTTTTGTCCCACAGCTACCTAGGGATAAACAGGGCTTGCAATGGGCCCTTCCTTGCCTTTTTAAAAAAATTTTATTTTATTTACCATCCTGTGCACTGTTCTGGCTGAGAAACAGAGGAAGCAGAGTGGAGTTGGGGATGCCTTTCTCATCTTTCTCCATTTGTGTTCTCATACAGTTTTCATAATTCATATTTTTGTTCTTCCTTCCCTTCACCAATAAAACTTTACTTCCATCACTTTTCCCAATAAGCAACTTCAAACTAAAGCATTCATAGATACTACTGGTTGAACATATTTGCGTTTTAATGGGGGCCTCTGAAAACACAAAACTTTACCTGCATGGTGACAGAGCTCTGGCAGTCATCAGGAGGGAGATCCTGCTGGGTAGGGGAGCTTTAGGAATCTCTCTACATGTGGTGTGCAGGCTGCTGTTCATGTTGTTTCTATCTTGAGGCTCAGAACTGGCTGTGTCTGTCCCCTCCCAGGCAGGTGCTAGAGGTTGGTGGCAGTCCATTCCTTTGTAATTGCCAGTCAACCTGAGAGCTCCTGCTGTATTTGCCCCAAGGACATAATGCCAAGGTCTGGATCTCTGACCAAGCATCTTTCTGCATTTCATACTCATCATCACTCCTTCCTTTGCCCCCACACATATCCTCCTATAAACTAGCTTTCTTAACATCCGTTTTATTAAATAGGTCTCCTTTGACCTTCCAAATTCCTAAGGCCATAGTTACAATCATAACAAGTGTGTTTACCATTAAGATAAGCATCCTAAATAAAAGTCTTAAGAGAAAATGAAGGTGTGCAGTAGAATTTAACTTTACTCCAAAATAGTTCTCTTTGACCTAGATTCTAGGAAGTAATCTCTAAGCCTTTGGACATCATACCTGATAAGAGCATCTTTGTTTGCCTGGAGACATTAGATCAACAGATATTCTAATAATATTATTTGTGGTGGGGGCTCGACACACACTTATAGTCTTATATTGGGTCTTGCTATGCCAGAAAGACCAACACTGTGATTGAGGGTAGGGCTTTGGCTCATGCCCTGATTGCCAGAAATGGAGACTGAAATAAACCACATCAATAGTCAATCAATCATGCGTATGTAATGGAGCCTCAGCAAAAACTCAACAATAGAGTTTGGGTAAAGTTTGCTGGTTGGCAATAGTCTATGCATACTGTCACATATTGTTACCAAAAAAGTAATGCATTCTGTCTCCATGGGACAGACGGACAGGATGATGGAAGTTCCACTTTTGGTAGTTGCTGTATTCTACCCTATGCACTTCTTCCCTTGGAGGATTTTAATATGACCTTTTAGTGAGTTCTATGAGTCTGTCTAGCAAATTATTGAAATTGAGGGCTGTTTTGGGAATGCCCAATCTTGCAGTTGGTGTCAGAAGTGAGGGTTGTCTCTTTTGGGAACTCTTCCCTCTAATTTCTCAGTTGATCCAAACTCTCACAGAATGAAAGTCCCTACACGTTTTTCTTCTCCTTCAAGATTAAAGTGCTTTGAGTCTCTGTTTTGTTTCCTTGTGAGTATGGAACGCAGAGAAAATTAAGTAGCACTCTGTGGCTGATCACCTGTTCAGGATGATACTAGATGAGGGCTTTCCTCATTATTGGTGAAGAACAACAGTGTCTGGACTGCCTCAATAGTTTGAAAGTAATGGCTTAACACACCCATTTATTGAATCCGATGGCAAACCACAGAAGACAAGCAAAAAACATTGTTATTATAATCTGTTATTGCTGAAGAACACTGGAGATAGGGGGGTGTGGGGGAGTAGGAGAATAAAGCACATGAGATCTGAAGTTTTAAGATCCTGCCTGCATCTTGAGTGAACATTTGTTGAAGTCATTGTAATGGTTTAAAAATGGTTCTCAGACTATATGCTAAAGAATATTTAACAACTGGAAATGTAGTTATGTAACTTAACTAAAGGCTATTTTTTTACATTTTGACAGAAAAGATGATATGTTTTGTTCTGTTGCAAGTTCTAGTGACCCCTGCTTAGCTTTCATTTATCACAAGTAATCTTCTCCCGGATACTGCAATTGCTGCAATGTTGAGATGCTTATATTACATCAACCTTGGAGAGGGGTCAAAATAAATCTGTGAATTAAGCAAGAATACATTACAGCTGGCTGAAAAGTGTGTCAAGAATACCCTGAAGAGAAAAATAAAACTATTTTTTTCCCTGTGTACAAGTTGTTGTGGCTCCTTGTCTATCTACTTGGAGTTTAGTAAAGAAATTCTGTTCTTCATCTTAATTCTAATGTGGGTAAGTAGAGTAGATAAAGCATATGGTTGCAGCTGCTCTGGAGTTACTTGCATATACTAAGGAAGGACTACTCAGATAAAGCATCGGCTGTGATAATCTCCATTTACACAGAAACAAAAACATACAACGAAAACCTCAGATAGCTTGACTACATAAATATATGATTGGCAGTGGGTTCGAGAGAATTCTGAACATCAGGTAAACCCAATGGTGACTTCATTGTTAATTTAGGGAATTATGGATAAATGTGGATGGCACCTATAGAGAAAGTCATGTTGCAAAAGGATACAAGAAAAGGAATGAGCAAGATGGACATTAAAATTGAAAGGAAGCAAATCACGCAGAGAGTTTATATTCAAGGAAATGAATAGAAATAAAAACTAAGACAAAATGTGCCAATATAAGAAATATAAAAGTTGATATATTTGTCATATCTTGAAAAATGTGATTCAAAGTCTCTGTTTTGATATTTTTCTCATTTAGATAGTTTTATTTTATGACTATGGACAATTAAAGAAGGATGAAGTATTTTCTGTGAGTAATTTCTCAATAGTTTTTTTATCACAAGCTGTGATTAAAATTTTATATATACATTAGGGAAAATACTATACTTTAGGGTGAAGAATCCTTTTTCATGGCTAATTAACAAACAAGAAAAGTTAGTTATGTAACAAAAAATTAAAGCTGGAAAAATCTAATAGTTTAATAAACATGAAATTATAGGTGATGTTTTGCATGATTCAGAGTCACTTATGTACTAAAAAGGAATGAAGAAGCCTTTAATGAAGTAGACAAAATAAACTAGGAATGGACTGCTTAGTCACTGACAAGATTATACTTGAACAAAGGGTAGCTCTACTGCTCTTTGAAGATGCTACATGCTCATTTATTTATACATCAATGCATTCAGTTTATTCATTAATTTAACAAATCATTGTGCCAGACACTTGCCTAGATCTTTTGATCACAAAAGTGAGGTGCTCTTAATGGTTATAAGAAATTTTCTTGATGGTTAACAGAAATGGTTAAATGCCTTCTGAAGCTTTATTATTTTGTTTGGCATAAGCTAGGAGTAAATATTTTATTACCTTTTAAAATATTTTGAAGTACTTCTAAAATATTTGTGACCTTAAGGTTATCGTATTTTTCAGAGAATAGGAATATTCTTCAGACATTCTGGATCAATTGTGTTTTACTACAAGGGAATAATAAAGATTAAATTCAAGAAAAGTAGTGATGACAGCAAGCAAACAACTTTTCAAAAATCAAGGCAAGATGGTTCCCATTGTTACTATACTATGGACCCAAAGGTCCATATACTATACTATACTATACCATATACCATACTATACTGTGGACCCAAAAGTCCATTGTTACTATACTAAAAAATTTTCCTGTTTAAAAAGATATTGTCATGTTTTCCTACCTGTTATGTGGAAATGTAGTGTATCCTATCTTGGCCCTGTTAAGTCCTGGAAAAAAGTAATCAGGTTGGACAGAAAACAGGCTTCTAAGACATTTCTGTGTTTCAACTGCATGATGGTTCTTCTGGCTGCAGTTTATCTCTTTTGTAACATACTGCCTGTGAGAATCATCTGGGGATCAATAAGTGAGACTCAATATTGTGATTTAAAGCAGCCCTTTACATTAAAGGCAGTATTTTGATATCTAACCATTAACAACATGACTGCATATGGACCATTTACCTGGTTATAAAACCATTTTTGCTGAGCGAAAAGAAAATGGATGGAATTCAGTTTCGGAGGCTTAATTAATGTGGCTACTTCTTCAATTTATTTGTTTATTTATTTATTTATTGGGATGATATTGAGCCCTACTTTATTTGTACCCTTTTTAAACCAAAAAAATAACTTTCTTCCTAAGGAAGTTGGTTTCTTTTCTTCACTGAAGATGTACAGCCAGATTATGAATGACCACGTGGTAGGAGTGGCTTAAAGGAGGTTGCAATATTAGAATGAATAGTAGGAAAAAAATAACTTTTAAGACCTCTTCAAAGTCTAAGGGTCTATGATCTCTGGATTGTGATTTTGAGGGCAGGACTGAATCTTAGCATCTCCATCTCTAGCCCCTGGCAAGGGACCTAAAACAAACTGAGCTTTAAATATGTGTGTTGAATGAGTGAATTAATGGATTAATCAGAATTTCATTTAACTTGTTTATTGATTATCGTGCAGCTTTAAGTTTCAGACTGTAAAGGTGGGCTTAAAAGGCATTTTATTTTTCCTTGAGCCATCATATCGGTGGTTTGGGTTGTTGTCTCACAATGAACAGGACTGTAGGGCTGTGACTGTCTGAGCAGCTCAGCTGGGCTTTTTCCAGGGATAGATAGCTTAGTTTCACATCATACCACCAAACTCAATCAATAACGTTAACTTTTGAGAAATAAACCTTTTTATTTAAATAAAACATTTATATAAACCAGTGACTAACATTGGCATATGTTTTTAAAAATACCAAAGCTCAAGAGCACAAAACAAAACAAAAACCCTGAAGAAATATAAATATTTAGCTTCAAATTAAATGCCATCACTAAATTTCAGAGGAAACTAATCACTACCTAATCTCACTCCTGTATCCTCCCAGAGATTAAGTAACCAATTTATTCCAAAATTTTTTCGGAGTTAACAATCTTCCCAGCTGCATTCATGGCTCCACAGTGCTTTGGGGCTACAGAGCAACTTGGGCATCAAAGCTTTTGTATCAGACTTTGATCCTTCTCTTCAGGTTAGACCTTTTTCTGTCTGCTTGCAATTTCTCAAAGAGAAGGCATTAATAATTTGCTGTTGGAAGACTTCCAATGTTGTTGTCTTGTTTCTTTGTCTACTCTGCAACTTTTGTTTTCTCACAACAAGAAAAAGCCTGTTTTGACACCATGTGCTTGGCTTTAGCAGCTTGGAGGAGGATTACAGAAGCGCTCCTGCCGCCTTCTCTAGCATGACTTCCCTGTGTTCGCATTCTCACTCCACTTGACCTGTTTCTCTTACCTAATTCCTAACCCCTGTAGCCAGCAGTTGTGAAGTTACTTTGCATTGAATTAAGACTGTATTTTTTTTTTTTTTTGTTAACAATTCTTGCATGTTTTCAGCAGTTGTCAGGGACAGTTTTTCAAGTTGGAACTTTAAACAAAAAAAAAAGAAGAAGAAGTCTGATTTTCCTTTTGCCTATAAACATTTTAAGCAGAATATAACTAAGTTTTATAATGTAGATCTAGTAGGTTACTAAATGGTAATTCTGGATGATGCTTCCTTCGCTGTGGACCTCAGTGTGTATTTATTGTTGAGTAAAAACTGAGAGTGAGAATCTCAGATGCTTGCCTAATTTCTTTTTACTGATTTTAGAGTGAAACTATTGGGTTGAAAGAAGGGAATAATATGTATTTATGGCTTATGGTTCTTTTGTATTCTTCCAAAAATGATCTTGGTACTTAGATGGAATTGTAATGGGCATATGAAAATGAGATCTTTTTCCACGTTGCCTTATTTCAGACTGAAAATAGTTGGATGCAAATCTTCTTAGTATAAATTTGCCTTTGATGTCATTGTTTCATAGTCTAGATGTGTCCTTTTCACATTACGTCTTCCGGCACACTGGTGTTTGGAAAGATATTTTCATTTCCTGAGCTGGTTTGAGTAGAGGACTCTGGTCTACCAGATGCCCCTGCTCCACAGTTGCTTACAAAATGCCTGTATGTTTTGAATGTGTGTGTCTGTATTCTCAGGCACAGACTTTGGAAAGCATCTCTGTTCTGACCACCCTGCAGCATTCATTATTTTCAGTTCTGCCCCTTTTGGAGGTCTTGCCACAAAGAGGCATATGTATAAAACGTTTGCTAGTTAACTGTTGACAATTTGAATGTATGCCAAAGTTCTGTAATTGAAGTATTTCTTGAATTCTATGGTGTATGGAAAACATGACTTATCCAACACTGCAAACATAATTTTATATTTGAAAACAAGAGGGAAGCAGACATATTTTGAAGGTGAGATGTTTTAAAAAGATGAACCAAGAGATTTATTTGAAAAAGTTAGTCAAGGATATGAAAGGAAAAAGTCTGCCAATTTTGTTTGTGGTTCTTCAAAGCTATTTTTCCTGGCTGGATGCAATTGCAAAAGGATTGATTAAAATCATGCTGAGTGGTTTTATATTTTCTGTATTTAAATGGGTGAGTACCAGGCATAAGCTTAAGAACAGATATAATAGAGCCAGCCCATTGCTGTAGTTTATTTTAATCTAAACCCCCACGTAGCCTCCAATTTCATGTATAATAGTTAAAATATATCAGTTGTTTACTAGGTGCCACACAATATGATAGTGTTTTAGAAGACAGTAGTGCATTTTTCTTCTAATCAAAGAGAGCATTTTTCTTCTAATCAAATGGAAAAGAGATACTGAGTGTGATATTAGTGTATTTACTCCTTATAGCAGCTCTATGAAAAATGTATTTGTTCATCATTCCTATTTCAGAGATGAGAAGGTGGAGGCAAGGGGCAATTAAATAAATTGCCCAAGGTCAGTATAAGTGTGGGTAATGAGACTCAAATGGAGATCCCATGATCTTATCATTTTTGTGCCTCTTTGACCTGAGGCTGTGTGAATTGGAATTTGCAATTGACACTGTTATATTTCCTGTCCCAGAGTGCTCCTGTCATTCATCTTGTTAGAGGTCCCATGTTTCACTGGATAATGCAAATTCACCTTTTCTCTTGTTTCTGGCTTTTAAAATGACACCCAGCCAACAGGAATATCTTCTATAGACTGGAAGAGCTGTTTCAGGGTTTTTTTTTCACGTTATAAATCATAGTGCCATTTATCAGAAATAGTTTTATTGCTTGAAAGTGCACTTGCCACAGATTCAAATGCTTTATGGGACCTGTTTACAAGTGAGGATCTTCTGTCATTTTTCACTCTCTTTAAAAAGGAAACGGAAAAATGGTGATTGAAAAATCATCAGCCAGTTAAGTTCCGGTGGTAATAGTCCATCTTGAAGAAGCACTCACAAGTTTCTGAAACTTCTGCAGCTGTCCATTCAAAGATGCAGGGAGATAGACAGTGCACAAAATAGCAAACAAAGGCACTGCTGCCTGCTGGAGAATTGGGATTTCATTGTGTGTGTCAAAAGTAAATGAATTCAAGAATAACCACTTGAAAAGGAATTCTCCCTTAATGTCTTTGGTGCAAAAATGTGCTCAGATTGTACTGGCTCTGAAGAGTGAGACTCAAAGAAGTAAATTACTTTCTAGCTACTAGTTTTCAATTGCTACTGGCTCAAAGTGCTAGCTAACCTTGCAAAAGTGGAGCAGAGAAGAAAGCAGTTTGCATTTTTCTCCTAATCAAAATGGAAGAGAGTGAGTGAGATACCATAGTGTCACAGAGATTTCTGATGGCAGAAGTTTATAAATAGTCATAAACATCTCATTGCAAGTCTCAACAAGAACCACTTAAATGTCCTGTATACATTTTTCAGGCAATTTTTATTTGGAATAAAGGGTCTAGGAAATGGTTTTGAGGTGTGAAAACTGATGTTTATAGAGAGTAAACTGTTTTCTTTGAAGGCCTTTCAAGTATATATTCAGCAGTCATGTAATTATGTAAATTTGTCTTGGACAGTTAAGGCAGTTAGAAGCTAGTACTAATGAAATGCTCAGTTATAGATTCAACCCTGGTCTGGGCCAGTGTGTTTCAGCCAAAGAGAAGCCTTTAGCAAGGCCCAGGAAGCATCTCTGAGGCATCCCTGCAATTTGTTGAGCTTCTTTGGTCACAAGGGGACTGAGGACATAAAAATCAAGGCTTTTCCCAGAAAACCTGCCTGAACTGCATGGCAGTTGCATCCTCTGTGTCTCAAATGGATAGAACTGAATATACTACACATTTTGGAATGAAGAGGGCTGTTGTTTTTTTCACCAGTGAATCTGAGTATGGTAGAATGTGTATGGAATAAGCAGTGAGGGATATCTTTATGATGTGAAATGGTTTAAATGAGTTTAAGAAATCGATGACTTCATTCACAAAATGACTCCAAGGGATTGTTCACTTTTTGAATGGCTACTACTTTTCTCCCATCTGTAAAATGGAGGCAGTAATGTCTAGTTTCAGGATTGTGGAAAGGAATAAATAAGATACTGTCTGGGGAGCACCTGCTTCAGTGTCAGGCAGATAGTAAGTACCTGATATGGTTTGGCTCTGTGTCCCCACCCAAATCTCATCTCAAATTGTAATCCCCACAAATTGAGGGAGGGGCATGTAATCCCCACGTTTTGAGGGAGGGAGGTGACTGGATCCTGGGGGCAGTTTCCCCCATGCTGTTCTCATGATAATGAGTGAGTTCTCATGAGATCTGATGAGATCTCTGTCTCTCACCTGCTGCCATGTAAGATGTGCCTGCTTCTCCTTTTGCCATGATTGTATGCTGCTTGAGGCCTCCCCAGCTGTGCGGAACTGTGAGTCAATGAAAGCTTTTTTCTTTATAAATCACCCAGTATCGGGCAGTTCTTTATAGCAGTGTGAGAATGAGCTAATACAGTACCCAATAATGATAGCTATTATTATTATTTTCAGGAGCATCCAACAAATATTAGTATTAACTAGAAGAAACAAACAGTACCTTTAAGTACTGATATGAATTAATGAAAACACTAGCTATCATTTATGTATGAAACATTAGTACCTCTATTTTATAGGCCTCAGAAATTCAATATGCCCTACTGCATTGTAGCAGACAGTACAGGATTTATTGAAGGATTCTTCGACTATTAGTACAATCTGATTCATACCAGGTGTTGAGGAGCTGAGGAGTAGGCACATATGCCATGCAAGGCTTGGATGAGAATGCTTTAGAGATTTAAGAAGCATTAAGAAATGAACCTAATAAATTTACAACTTAATGGCAAGAGCATCCTAGAAACTTTCTAGGAATGGAGTGAGTGGAAGAGAAGGCAAAAGAAATGTAGACTGGACAGACCAGCAGGATGATATACCCTGTTGTCGACAAAGGGGTTTTGTTGGAGGATATGGAACAACTCCTTCAAAAGAGAATGTGTTTAGAAGTTCTAGGCTGAAGACCTGTTTCTATGTTAAAATCTTTATGCTTTCCCTAGGAAAGTGACTAAATTTCCTGCGCATTGTCATGCTCCTTTGTACAAAGAAGAAATTAAACTCAATTTCTGAGTTCTCTTTTTCCTCCCAAATCTATAGATTCTGTGGGTCTGAGAGAGGCAGGCATTAATACAGGCAGATCTTATTGAGGACTAATCCTAAGTAAACCTAACTAGTAGGTGTGCTGATGACCACAGTGATAAACAATTGGGTTTTTAAATATTAAAAACAGGTGTGAAGAACTACCTGTTACAGAAGCTGAGAGTAGTTAAAACTTTAGGGTTGAATGGGACACAGTGTTTAGTTATTTTATTCATCAAAAGAAAGGAAAGCTTTGATGGCCTTGCTGGAAAACCTGAGAAAAGTGAGAAAAGCTGAGGAAAGACGAAGATGAGAGAAAACAAGAGATGGATAGATAGTGGAACAGATTTAGGGAGCAGAAGTGCAGGAGGAAGCAGAGCTGGCTGAAGAGGGGAGAGCTGGACTTTTCTCCATTTCTGCTTTCTCTCCCTTAGCAGACATTAATACAATTCATAGAATTCCTTCTGGTGGAGTCCAAATTTGGCTCCAGGATCCTCCTAAACAGCATCTTGAGATTAGGGAATGAGTTCAGGTTTATAGGCTGTAAGATTTTTCAGGCCCATCTTAGTACAGTTTTTTTTTTCTGTGAAATCAACTCTTCACCAACTCACTATTAGTTTTAGTCTTTGTAACTCCTATTGCATTTTCATTTCTGTTATTTGGCCCCTGCTATGGACTGAATTGTGTCTTCCCCAATTTATACATTGAAGACCTCACCTCTATCGTGACTACATTTGGAAACAGGACCTAAAAGGAGGTAAGTTTAAATGAGGTGATAAGAGTGGGTCCTGATAGGCTAGGATTAGTGTCCTTATAAGAAGAGACACCAGAAAGCTTGTTCTCTTCATGTGCAACAAAGAAGAGGTTTGTGAGGCAGGATGGTGGCTACTGGCAAGTCAAGAGAAGAGGCCTCAGAATGAAACCTGCCTTGCTGCCACCGTGATCTTGGACGTCTCAGCCTCCAGAACTGTGAGATATAAATTTCTTTTGTCTCAGCCACCTAGACTGTGGTATTTTGTTGTGGGAGCCTGAGCTAATCTACCCTCCCATATCTGTGGTCAGTATTCTAGTGGTCTGAATCTTGTCATCCTGACAACACTTTGAGCTTGAGATCATGTCTTGTATGTCTTTGCTTTCCTGATGGTGTATACTTGACACTGAAGAATTCATAGTTTGTGACCAGATCTTTACTACATTTTGTTCACTAACTCAGGAAATTACGTAACCAGTTTTGGGAAACTTCTTGTAAATATATGAAGTAAAAGTTTTGGTGCCAAGATTAAACTACCTAGAATATATATTTTATTAACTATTCTGAATAACTGGCATGTTATTATAAAATGCTGAGAACAGACTAATCAAGAGGGACATGTTAATTTTTTGAATGTTGTCATTTTCTAGTTTCCAGATAGGCACATGTGCCCAAGACACAGGGGCAAACCTACTGACAATCTCAGCGTCTTCTGGCACATTCGAGTGCCAGCTTTAATTCTGGTTAGTGACAGCTGAAATTGGATCCCAGGTTGCTTGACTCTAAGTTGAGGCTTCCTGGAATGCCAATAAAGGCTATACTCTTGACTTCATTCTGTTCTGCTGGAATTTCCACTTGCTGAGTTTGATGGAGAAAAGCATCCCCACAATAGTAATGCATGAGTCTTTAAATGACTGTGTGTCTTAGTCCTTATTAATGCAGATGAGACTTTAATAAATTATTTACTGAGCACTTAATATTTGCCAGGCACTATTCCAAGTTTTTTTTTTATATAAACTGCTTATTTAATCTCTGTAATGTATCCACAAAGTAGATACTATCACTACTTAAAGCTGAGGCACAGAGTAGTTATGCCAGTTGCCCAAGGTCAGACAGGTAGTAAGTAGAAAAGCCTGGATTCAGTTTCAGACAGCCTGATTGCAGAGTCCAATCCCTTCACTACGGCATTCTGTGTCTCTCCGGTTGAGTACAAGTCCCGGAGGACTTGTCTTTGATTGGTTTCATTAGTAAACCAACATTAGCTAATGTTCTTTGCCACTCTGAATGCTGGTGAAAAGCTGGCAATAGAAGATAATTATTTTCTGGAAGATGAGTATTACATATAACGGCTGTGTCATCCTCTGATTCAAGGCAGTAGAGTGTAGTCGTTAAAATTGTTCTGGAATTAGACTTTGTGATGTTTTAGCTGAGTCCTCAGATTTCCAGTTGGTGACTTTGGAAGTTATTTATTCTCTCCGTACCTTAATTTCTTCAGTCTGTACAATGAATAAGAGGAACAGTTCTTACCTGATAGGGTAATGGAATGGTTAAATGAGGATCTATACAAATTACTTGATCCAGTGCTTCACATGTAGCAAGCACCCAATAAACAACCACCACATCACTACCATCATTATCACCACCACCATCAAAGTGATTTGGCAGAAAGGTAGTCATGCTATAATGCCTAGCAGCCAGTTATATTCTTTGTTCATCTTAATGTGAATGAGATAAGTCAATCATAAAGTTACCTAGGATTGAGTGGACTTTTTATAGACCTGGTTATCCAAACTATATGTGGATCTATATCTACATACATATTGAACATGATGAATAATTAATGACCCCAATGATGATCCCGAGTAGTGAATAAGAGGCAAGGGACATTTATGGAATATTTTAGAAGTGTTTTTATTAAATGTTATATTTAGGGTATGAAAGTTTAGAACCTGTTTGTATACCTTAATTTTTTTTTGAGCTAGGTTGCTTCATTCCCAAAGGATTCCAAATAAAACCGATTTTACCTTTTGTCTTAATGCACTACCATTTTAACATCCAATTATAATATAGATTAATCAGTTAGATCACAAAAACATGCAGGAAGTCAGGAGGGCATGATTTAGCCACTAGTCCCAGATGCAGCTTGCTGGGGAGGAGGACTCAAGAGTTTTGCAGACTTCCTGCCTTTGTGCCTATCAGCTATGCAATCTTAGGAAGATTACTTAACCTTTCTCAACCTGTTTTGTCACATTTAAATGGAGACTGTAAGTCTCACCTTGTAAGGTTAAAATGAAGATGATGCTGAAAGCAAAACACCTGGTACACAAGAAGCAACATATTCAAGTATTTACAGAGAATCTGCTATAAATCTGTGCTGTCTTTCAGAGATAGTGAATATTCTTCTTATGATTTAGAATAAATCTCAATGTCATGCCCCATGCTGTTAAAACACAACCCTCTCATTGCCAATAAAATGATTTTAAAAGATTATAGGTATTTTGTAGCACATTCAGTGGAGGAGAGTTGTGCTTCCTCCAAACATCTAGACTTGGACATATCTAAGTTCTGGTAAATAGATATAGAAATAGCCAGAGTTATTGGTACACAGTGGGCCTTAAAGCCTAAGCTTTGGAAAAACATTAATATGGAGGGAAAAGTCTCAGGAATTAGTGCTACATATCACCCAGATGAATGACCAAACCAAGGTGAATATTGGACATGCTAAAATATGGGATTCAGAGGCTGCGGTGGCTCATGCCTGTAATCCCAGCACTTGGGAGTCCGAGGTGGGTGGATCACTTGAAGTCAGGAGTTCGAGACCAGCCTGGCCAAAATAGTGAAACCCTGTCTCTACTAAGTACACAAATATTAGCCGGGCATGATGGTGCATGCCTGCAATCCCAACTACTCGGGACACTGAGGCAGGAGAATTGCTTGAACCCAGGTGGAGGTTGCGGTGAGCCGAGATCATGTCATTGAACTCCAGCCTGGGTGATAGAGTAAGACTCTGTCTCAAAGAATAAAAAATGGGATTCAGAAGACCAACAGCAGATGATACCTAACCAAAATGTCAATAGATAAATAGGAATCAGAGCAGATCCTGGACAGAAGTGTGTCCCCTGAGCTAGGCTTGCATAATGAGGTAATGCCTGATATCCATAGCTGAACTGTTACCTTCTCTGTGGGGCTTGCCCAAGCTTTTTATCAAAACGTTACTTCCCCATCTCTGCCACTGCTCACAACTCTTGTCCTCCATGCAACTTTATTACTTCCTGAGCACTTAACACTGTCTCTTATACTGTGTATCTTGTTTATTGACTGTTTACCCCAACAGAATGGAAACGTCTTAGGGATAGGAATTTTTGTCTTTTTTGCTCACTTCTGATACCTCAGGGCTTAGAAGAGTACCTTGCATATAGGAAGCATTCAGTGAATATTTTTTAATGAATGAGCCACGTTACAGTTCATATTTGTGTCATTCCTAGTTATTGTAAGCATATATTCCATTTAGGTAAACTATTGATAGTCCATTGCCTTCTGTAGATTTAGTCATTTTCAGTAAGTCTATTCTTAACCCTACAAAGTTCTTTTGGAAATTGCTAAGGAAAATGTGTTAACTGATAGACTAAAATCCTGATATTCATAATTCCTGTGTCCAGAGTAGGCAGACCAGGTAAAAGCGCCTCCTACCAATGGTGCCTAAAAAATGATTATTTTAACAGACTCTGACTGACCATGTATACACAATAACAAGCCATATTTGTTTCATTTATTGAGAAGTATAAATATTAGCCTATAACATCAAAGGATATTCTCCAAATAAATAAGGGGTGATTATTGGACATAAAGTTTGCCATCAAGCTTTCTGAGGTTACCAAAGTTCTGTTTATGCTGTGAGTCTATAGAACTCACATCCCCTGTCATGGCATAAGTATGTGCAGCAGATTGTCCTGTGTGACTCCAGATCAAACCTATGTTCATTACAGTTTCCTTCTAGGACACTTTTAACATTAAATTCAATTATGCTGTAAGTACTTTAAATATCATTGCCAGTGCTTCCTATGAAAGATAAGTTTTTCCTTCATAGTATATGAGTAAAAGAAAAAGCATTAAATTCTTAAAGGTAATTTTTCTCATATCCAAGAACATGTATTTTTGATTTGATAATGTGTTTTAATGGAAAAAAAATTCAGTGAAGAGTCACTGTGGTAGGCGAACTGTCATTTATAGCTTCCCAAAGTGTCCCTATCCCAATCCTCAGAAGCTTTGAATATCTTACCTTGGATAGCAAAAGAATATCTTACCTTGGATAATCACATTGCAGACGTGATTAAGTTTAAGGACCTTGAGATAAGGAGATTTTCCTAAAGTATCTGAGTGCATACAATCTAATAATTTGAATCTTTAAAAGTGGAGAATTTTTCCCATATCACCCACAAAGAGGGTGATAGGAAGATGTTGTGTTGCTGACTTTGAAGATGAAGGAAGAGAATAACTGGCACCAAAGAACACAGGCAAGCAATAGAAGCTGGGAAAAAAACAACTGAAAAACAAATTCTCCTTTAGAGCCTCCATAAGGAAACTCTGCCTTCCCTGCAGACAGGTTGATTTTAGCTCAGTGAGACCCATTTAGGATTTCTTACCTAAAGAGCTATAAGATAATATACTTTTGTTATTTTAAGCCACTAAGTTTGTGGTGATTTGCTACAACAGCAATGTAAAATTAATATAGTCACTGGCTGTTGAATAAACAATACTTGTAGTATTTGTTTTAAAACTTTTGTTCTGTAAAACAACTGTTAGACCTGTGCAAGTAAACATGTTATTAAGAAAATTTTTCTTGCTATTAATGTCATACGAATTAAGTGGCTTAAAGTGTATTTTGAGCTAAGTATTTCTATGGGTGACATTGTAATTTAAAAATCAGATAATTTAGAAATATTTGAACTGTGACAGATTATCTTATAGTGGATTAGGACATATTTCCTTTGCATTCTTAATCCAAACACTATGAAAGCACTTTGGTATTTTTTAGTGGGTACATTTCAATGTTTGACGAGTTGGCTTACATCTTGTTTACAGGCGCTGGAGTTAATTTTTCATGAGTGATAAATTGTCAGTTAACATGAGCTTTTGCAAGTGAAATTTGAAACTCTACTAAATGTTGAGTGTAATATTGAAGTGTATTAGGTCAAATGGCTAAACACAAGCAATGCATTGGCACTGATTCAACATCCTAATGATCCAACTGCATTCCTTTGCATGAAAAGTATTTATAGTAGTTTAATTCATAGTATTCTTTAGCTCTGAGTTTTGTTTAAGAAGGCTAGTGAAGTTAATTATGTTGTCTAGAAATGGAAAAAGAAATCCACCAACAACCCCTAAGAATGCTGCTAATGTTGATATGATTGAATTCATAGTAGAGGCAGCTGGATTTAATTATCAGTTTGCAATGTTGCGGTTTCAGCAGCAGTTGCTGAGGAATGGATAATGCAAGTAGCCTTCAAAGCCACTCACATTAGAGATAAAAACCTTGTCATTGAGTCAGACAGCTGACTGAACAAGTATTAAAATGAACAAAGATTTCCCAAGGGAAGTTGCAGACTAAGGTTTGGTTTTGTCTCCTTGGCTTCAATTCAAATATGTCAGACATATAGGATTTTTCTCTTTTCTAACTCAAAATGTTGGCCATTCTTAGCATTAGAGGTGGGTTTGGGGAGAGGTTGAGAGTGGGGGCATTTAGTGGCAATTATATAAATCTTTGGTTAGCTAATTACTCCACTCTTTATTCAGCTCATTTATGGGGAGAAATGTAGAAGAGAATCCCTAGGTTCTAATTATTTTAGCAGTGTTACCTAAGTATCAACTTAAGTACTTTTGCAGCTGTGACTGAGTTTGCTAAAAGCAACAGTGGTGACTGGTAGCAGAAATCAAATATTTTCCCTGTAAATCAGGTTTACTCAACAGCAGCACTATTGACATTTTGAACCAGATAATTCTCTGTTGGGGAAGGGCGGGGGCTGTCCTTTGCATTATGGTCAGCAGAATTTCTAGCCTCTGTGTGTGGAATGCTAGAGCACTCCCTCTCCATTGTGAAGACTAAAAATGTCTCTAGATATTGCCAGAAGTCCACTGGGGGAGAGGGTGCAAAATTCTCCTCACTGAGAATCACTGCTATAAGTCTGAGAGGAAATATGCAAGTTACTTTTGGAAGGTACAGGTTTCTCATTCTAACGAGCTCTTGGTGTTTTCACCTTACTGTTCCATAAAAATGGCAGTTCCTGTGCTTAGTGCTTAGTATCCTCAAGAGAATGGAATACTTGCAGGAAATACTAACATCTTAGTGTTTAAGTGGGTGTGTAACCACACAGACACTCCTGACCTTTATACATCAGCTTTGTTTGCTTTTACAAATAATATCTTTATGATATTTTAGAGAGAACATTCAGAAGCATAACATCTCTCAACATAAATTCTATAGTTGGAGCTGCTTCTCTGCACAGCAGTACTTCATCCTGTAGGAAGCAGCCCTTTAGCAACATAAGATATGAAACAGCAGGATGCAATAAGAAAGGAATGAATCTTTAATGAATAGTTTTTAATAGAAGTCACATTGTTTTAATAATGGGGAAGATAACATGGTATTAGTGCTGGCAATTAATTAAGGAATTCTTGCCAAGATAATTGGTAATCATTTTCTTAATTTCTTTGTGTGATTCAATAAATACATTTTGTGGGTTTTTTTTTTTTGAGTGTGATAACATTAGCTGACTGAATTATAGCTCTCTTTGCACGAAGATTAGAGTTACCAAAATGTTCAGGGAATTTGTCCTGCATTATGTTGACTAATATATCTAAAGAATAGTTAAAGATTTGCCTGTTTTTAAAAGTATGATGCAAAATAAAACACGGGTAGCAGAAATCAAATATTTTCTCTGTAAATCAGGGTTTCTCAACAGCAGCACTGTTGACATTTTGAGCCAGATAATTCTTTGTTGCGGGGGCTATCCTGCGCATTATGTTCAGCAGCATTTCTGGCCTCTATGCACTGAATGCTAGAACACCCCCTCCCAGTTAGGTCCATTTGTGAGATTTTGGTGTGTTTTTAATACCCTTTCACCTCAAAACCCCCACCTAAAGAACACAGGAGTGCACAGATCGGTTACAGTCTGAACGGACGAGAATGAGCCAGGAAATCTGAATTGTGTTCCTGGCTTTCTCACCTATGTGACCTTAAACAGGCTGAGATTTAGTCTTCTTGTTTTCCTTATATACAGTAGGCAATAAACCATCCCCGCTCAATCCCTCATAAAATATTATCAGGATTAATTAGAGAATTCATTTGAAGTGTGTTGTGAGCCTAGAAGAAAAGCACTATCTGTAATACAAGATATTACTTGTTTTTTCCTTGCTCTTCTCTGTTTTATGCAGCTCTGCTTCCCCAGTCTACTCTCATCTATCCATTTAGCTGCTGGGGGTTGATTAAACTGTTACTCACACTCTTTCCCAGCTCGCATTAAAGGAACAGTATTAGATTTCATTTTGTTGAGAGATTTAAACACTACCTTGTCTGACAGATTTTGAATTCACCTCTTAAATGCATTCCTACAGGCCCCAGCCACAAATATCAACAAAGTTGAAAACACCAACTTTATTTCTTAGTCACCTTGAATAAAAATGATGCTGTTTATTTTTAACACGTTTGGAATATTCAGTTACAAACACTATCAGTTCTGATGGACTTCAGTAATGGGAATAGTGTCTGTGCTTTTTTTATGGAAAACTTATTTCTAACAGTTCTCTTTTTTGTAAATCTAATTGCTTTTGGTTCACCAAGAATTCATGGGCAATTGCTTTTCTCACTATTACAAATATATTGCAAGTGGAGCTTTTATATTCAGGGTTGCTGACCTGAATCTGTTTTCCTTCACAGTAATCTTGTGCTGTTTCCAAGCTTAGGAAAGCTGACAGAGTTTGAAAAGACAATATTCATCAGTCAGACTATGGGTGCTGCTTTTGCATCTTTTATACGTAATTGTCAAAACATTCTATTAATACCCAACTACAGGCCAATGCATGAAAATATAATCGGAACATTGCAGAAGTGATGCAGAGACAAACAGGAACTTGAAACCGTCCCTCATTTTTGACCCCAATTTACTGCTATCCCACACAAATTTGGTGTTCTCAATTTCTGAAGAAATTATCTATATCAGACATGCAGGCTTATGGTCCAGAGGTTATAGGAAATGTCACTTTATATTAAAAAAGAACCCACCTCAAACCTGGCGTTGTGCTTTGCTCCTTGCATTAATAATGATGTCTTTCCAGCTCTCATTCTGCTTTTCAGTCCTGGGGGACACATATTTTAATTTTTTATTGGCTGTGGTAGAGTTTCAGCAGATTCATAGGAAGCGCTTCCCATATGCTTCCTGATCCATGCAACCAGAGGCTGCAGAGGGGTGTGGATACTTGTGTGTGTGTTTGTGTGTGTGTGTGTGTGTGTGTGTGTATGCATGTGCTGGTTGATGAGGGAGGAGTGACAACTGTTGATTTCAATTGACATAGCCCATTGTGTCCTTAAAGTAGATACGAATCAGGATATTTATATGCACTTAGCCATTTTTCCCCTCCTAACAGGTCTTGGACTTTGAAATTTGATGGTAAAATGGATTGGGATGGTAAAAGTAATAAAGGAGAAGTCAGTTTATCCATGATTTAATCTATATGGTAAAATCCATCAAAATTCAAAGGTTTATAAGGTCGCATGTTAGGAAAAAGTTTTGGTTACTGATACAGCCTATTAGTTTCTACAATTTCCACCCTCCTCCACTCTACTCATGACTGCCTGGCCTGACAGCATTTGAAAGGTGGGGCATTGTATATGCCTTAACGTTTAGTTTTAATTTATACTCCCTAAAATTTTTATGTGTAAATATTTTCCAATTTAAGTGTTTAACCATAAAATATATTTAGAGACTTGAAAAAAGCAGAGAATATCATATTTATGATAATTTACCATTTTAAGAAAGGACACAGTGCTTCTCAAATAAGTAGTTGTATGATCCGACTCTTCAGGTGATGACAGCTTTGTTGATTGAGAGGCAAGTAGAGGGGGATTGTCTGGGCAGTCCATCATTAATACAGGTGTAAATCACCTGGTGGAGCAGAAAACAAATGTGTGGTACATGTATTTCTATCTGAATTATAATATTTATTCCCCATGTAAGCTACAGTGTGTTCTGAAAAAGGGTTTCTGGGATCCTTTCTTTGCCCATGGGTTTCACATTGCTCAATGAAAATATGTTATCGTTGTTGAAAAAAGGTTTTTATGAGCATATTTGAATCATATTTTCTATCATAATCTCAATTATGTTTAAAAATCTGGAATCCTGCTTTTCATGTATGTAAGTGGAAGAGCTAACTAGAAAGCTTTTTATCATTAGATAAAAGTTAATGGTGTCTTTACTTCCCAAGATCCCCCAAATTTGTCTTTTATTTTGATATCCAAATTAGTGCCTTATATATTTACCACCCACCCTTAATTTTGTTCTTGAATGGTTTTAACTGTATAAAGTTTGCCTCCTTTTAACAAGGTGGGAGTGATGGTACATGTATGAAAAGCTGTTTGATACCAGAGAGTGTATGGTACTTAGCATTTTCTCAGGCCCACGTATTTTTAGAACTGAAAAAAAATAGCCTTCAAAGACCATTTCCCCAGTCATCTGGCTTTTTAAAGAGGACTGAGCATGTCCAAAACTGAGCTCCTCATCTTCATCTTGAACTTAACTATTGTCAGGGGTTGCCTCTTCTTATGCAAGTACTTTTCTTCCCGTTGCCCAGGCCAAAAATCTGGGTATCATCCTTGACTTCTCTCTTTCTTTTATACCCCATGCCTAATCTTTCAAAAAATTCCTTGGTTTTATGATCAGATTATGTCCAGAACCTGTCACTTTTTACCACTTCCATTGCTCTAGCTTCATTCAAGTTACCATCATCTTTTGCTTTGAGTATTATAGTAGCTTCTTAACTGGTTCCCTCCTTTCACCTTTGCTTTTTTTTTTCTCTTCTTACAAAGCAGCCAGAATGATCTGATGACAGCGTAGGCAGAGTGTGTTCTTCCTTTGATTAAAAGCTTCAGTGGCTCCCCACTTATCCACTGCTTATGAGAATCTACATGATCTTCCTCCATTACCCTTTATCTCTCTGAACTCACCTCCTCAGACTTCCACACTTCCCTCTTTCCTTTCCAACTACACTGGACTCTTCGCCGTTTCTCATATGTGCTGGGCATGTTCCTGCCTCAGGCCTTTGCACTAGCTCTTGTTCAACTGTTGTCATGCCTGTACCTTTCTGTTAGATATCTGCACAATGGGATCCCTCCATCCTTTAGTGTCTCATTCCCATGAAAGTATCTTGCCTATCTTTAAACTCACAACTTGTTTTCTTGGCCCTCTCTATCCTCCCTGCCTTGTTTAGCATTTTTCCCCTCTCTGACACCGCTTTCTAGCAGACTACACTGTTTACTTACTTATTTTATTTATTTATGTATTTATTTTTGTCATCACCTACTACAACGTCAGATCTCTGAAGGCAGAATTTTTTTTTCAATGTCATATTCACAACCCAGAATAGTGCTTGGTACATGGCATATTCTAAATAATCATTCTCATTAAGTTACTATTTACTGTGGATAAATTTTCACTTCCATCATTTACCTAGATTCTCCTCTGTGCTTCTTGGACAATTTCACACAAGTGTTAGATCTTGACTCATGAGTTGACTTTGAACAGATAGAAAGAAGCCAGAGGCATTCAAAGAGCTGGGAGAGGGTGTGCAAAGACACTGAGGTAGGAAGAGAGCAGTGTGTGAAGATTTGAGGGTGGAAAGAGGCAAGAGTGTAGGAAAGGAAATGGTGGGAGAACAACATGCAAAAGTTAACAGCAAACAGATTACAAGTGCCTTGTATATCATACCAAGGTGTCTGAATTTATCCTCTAAGCAGTGGTGAGTCATTAAAAGATTACACAGGAGTTGACTTGACTCAGATTAGTATTTTGGGGAAAAGAACTCGACAAAGTAAATTCCTTTTAGAAAGTATGAACTCTTCAAATGTGTAGATGGGTATAGAGAACAATTTTTATAACATAAGTATCATGAAATAATATTCTATACAGGTTATAACCTAAATAAATTTGGATCCAAGTTATAGACACAGTTATATTTGCACATCTGAGCATGAACAAGGGCTTGTGTGATCTATGTAAAACGAATGCCTTTGGACCCTGTCACAGTTTTAAGAATTTTATATTACTGAAGTGATGTTCCTGCTTTACCATCATGACAGGAGGCTTGTTACTGTACTTCCTAATCATTGAATGTATTTTGATATTATTTGCAGCTAAAGAGAAAATGATAACTTCCATTTTAATCAGAGGCATTTTCAATTGCTCTCCAATCTAAATTCATAAAGAAAAATGGACTAAAATTTTTAGTATGGAATCCAATTTCTTTTTGAAAACAAAGACTTTTCTTTGTGGAAGAAAAAATAATCCATAGGGGAATAAATTTTATTTATGGAGGAGGTGTTGGAGGATGCTATTTTAGAGACAGTATGCAGGTTGCCAAACAGTGATTGTGCTTTTGTAGGTAAAGAGCCTCTACCAGCTGGACAGCCTCTGGAAATAGCCACATGTTCAATTAAAATGTTTTAGCAAATTTATTGAGAGTCAGGTAGTTTTTCGTTTTTATCTCAACTTCCAGCACATCAAAGGAACTTAGCTTTAATTGCCTCTTGTAGGAATTAATCTGTATGGAAGCCTATCTCTAAATAGCCAGAGAGGCCATGACCAAATGTGAAGCCAATCTTCTCTCCACACTTGCAAGTGCCCCAAAGAGATTTGCTCACATGTAAACAGACCCCTATTGGGTTCCTATTAGTAGAGTTAGCAAAACTTATTTTACATTGAGATTTTATAAATTCTAATAACTTTTTTGTCAGTTGGGATTTTTGATTCCAAGAGAGAGAAACTGATTGGTTATTTTAAACCCCAGAAGACTTTACTGGAAGGCTAGTGGAGGAAGAAAGGGGAATACAAGTTGATGGGAATGTGGAGTCTGATACAGAAAATTTACAGATGCCAGAGAGTTCTGGGGGAAGCAGGGGCCACAGTCATAGCAGAATTCTATTGCTGCTGCAAGGAATCTGGCCTCCAGAAACAACTTCACGTTTCAAGCTGCCAGAAGCAAGTGGCTGATAGGCTAACAGGGAGTGAGTGAAACAGAGAGAAGCTCTGTCCTTTTCTGTCCTCAGTGGGAGGCAATAGTACAAGGTAGGTCCTAACTATTAAGATAATCCCAAATGGAGAATTTCATCCAAAGGGAGACCACAGTGTTCATAGGGAATCATGGGTGGGGGAGATTGGGTACTCTCAAAATGATAACTATATCTTGCATTTGTTATTTTATTGCATGTTGTCTTGCTTTGTTTGAAGTGACTGGTAGGATTGGGGTAAGGATTTTTGCCTTTGTAAGTTGGCTTAAAATATCCATATATCTATAGCTATGCACATAGTATATAGATTTCTTTCTCTTGTGGAAAAGTAGCTGTGGGTTGGAATGGAAAGTGAGGAAGGTTTTATACAGACCAAATTTACGGTCTGCCTGTAGTAACTCAGGATTATTTATAGTACTGGAGACCCAAATGGTTGGTTTGCATTATGCTTGAATTGCTCTTCTTTTCCCATGCTGAATACTTCTGAGGTACTAACAAAAAGAAGGCAGAGTAAACAAAAAAAGTCTTTGTATATTTTCTTCAAATTGGGTTAAGATCAAAGAGAACCACTGATTAAAACTGAAGCAGATGTATGTGCACATATGTACATGCACACAGACACACATATGTATACATTTATATATTTTATATAATCTTAACTGTTAAGAGTTAATTGCAGGCCTGATGTCCCTAAACATTTTAATAGGTGTTTCTTAAGAACAATTTTTTTCATAACCATATGATAATTGTCAAAATCAAAAAATTAATATGTACATAATACTGTAGTCTGTAGAACGTATTCAGATTTTACCAATTGGCCACATGTCCTTTGTAGGAAAAGAAAATCTCAGATCCTGTATTTTCTTTTTTTTTTTTCTTTTGAGATGGAATCTTGCTCTGTCACCCAGGCTGGAGTGCAGTGGTGCCATCTCAGCTCTCTGCAATCTCCACCTCTCTGGTTCAAGCGATTCCTCTGCCTCAGCCTCCCAAGTAGTTGAGATTACAGGCATCCTCCACCATGCCTGCTAAGTTTTGTATTTTTAGTAGATATGGGGTTTCACCATGTTGGCCAGGCTGGTCTTGAACTCCTGACCTCAGGTGATTTGCCTGCCTTGGCCTCTCCAAAGTGCTGGGATTACAGGCGTGAGCCACCGCGCCCAGCCTTTTTTTTCTGTTGTCATGCCTTGTTGGTCTTTGTAACGTGAAATACTCCGTCATTAATTTGGAAACAAAGCTTTTATTTTAATTATTGATATATTTTAATAATTTGGCCATTATTTTGTAGAAAGTCCCTCATCTGGTGTTTGGCTGATTATTCCTTATGAATCAATTTGTGTTATAGACTTTTGACAGGAGAAAACAAAAAAAAATGATGCTGTGTTTTCAGCACATCGTGTCAGGAAACACATGAAGTCAAATTTCATTTCCAGTGATATTAACTTTATCACTTGGTTAAGGTGGCTTCACCACAGATTTCTCCATTGTAAAGTTATTGTTTTCCTTTTGTAATTAGTAAGTATTTAGTGTGGAGATACTTTGAGACAATGGGAATAATGTTTCCTATCCAACTTTTACCTACTGATTATAGTATTTATTGATAATTCTTGTCAAATGTTGATTTTTCTAATTAAATTATTCCTTCTAAATTTAGAAGTTGGATTTTTATTGCAAGGAATGACTTTCCTTATTTATTTATTTGTATCAGGGTGGACAAATGAATACTTATTCACTGTGCTATAAGTGTTTACTTTTGTTACTTATTTTGATGCTCAAATTATCCAAGATTTTCCCAATGTTAGCCCTTCTAATGAGCTAACTTTAGTTTACTTCCTCTGTGTGCTATAGGGAAGACCTATACTTCCTCTGTGTGCTATAGGGAAGAAAAATATACAAAGACTTTTTTTGTTTACTCTGCCTTCTTTTTGTTAGACCCTTGTGTCTTCCCTATAGAACAGTGCTTTGTATAATACTTAATAACCATATTGAATTTGCCAATAAACCAAGCATCATTTCCTCTAAAATTTTCCACCTTACCAAAGTAAACTTCTAAAAAGCAAATTCAGGGGAATATACAAAACTGTGCATATTTATCATGGGTTGAAAAAAATTCATATTTTTCTTATTTTGTCTAATCTATGACTTTTTACTTTTAACATAATTTCCTTTATATCTATTCATTATTTTACAGAATATAAGATATTTTTCAAAATTTAGAGTAAGTACTCAGTTGAGTCCCTTGTGTGAAATAATAGACGAATTGGTTTGTGTGTTACCTCTCCATCTGCCATCCTAAGGGAAGTTGGGAAATCTCAGGCAAGATTAATGACAATAGAAATTTTGTTCCATGATTAACTTATATTCTGTCAGACAGCCTTTTGGAACAGTTTTATAACCTTCTTTCCTCTATGCTATTTCCCCACACTATTTGCTTAAAGATTTTTTTTTCAAATTAGTCATCATTCACTTCTTATTTCCTTTGTAGAAAAATTAAAAGTTATAAAAGAGAGAAAATACCAAAATACTACTTATACTTTGATTAAATCTTGAAATAATTTTTAAATGGCACCTGCAACTTACCCTAGACCTGGTGAAATTCTTGTGAGGACAATGTTAACTCATCCAACATTAATAGGATGGTACTTATGTGGCAGGCATTGTGCTCAGAGCTTAATTAAGTTTCTGCTCCATCTTCAAAAGACTAAGAGTATAGTTGGAGAGGAGATACATAAGCAAAAATCCCCAAAAAGGTAACAAGAGCAGTATACAAGTTGTTCTGAAAATAAGGGAGAGGTGCTGACTTCTCCTGGAGGAAGCTAGTGAGCAAGATGCTTTTGAGAATAAGTGCAAATCAGTGTCCAAGAAAAGAGATTTTCTTCATATATTTTGGGATGGTTGAAATCAAATGATAATTTATTCTAAATGATACTATAATTGAGTTGAAGGAAAGAACTGATCATTTTAAATTAAACAAAGAATGTTATAGATAGCTCTTATTATTCTGAAATACGTCCCATCAATACCTAATTTATTGAGAGTTTTTAGCATGAAGGGTTGTTGAATTTTGTCAAAGGCTTTTTCTGCATCTATTGAGATAATCATGTGGTTTTTGTCTTTGGCTCTGTTTATATGCTGGATTACATTTATTGATTTGCGTATATTGAACCAGCCTTGCATCCCAGGGATGAAGCCCACTTGATCATGGTGGATAAGCTTTTTGATGTGCTGCTGGATTCGGTTTGCCAGTATTTTATTGAGGATTTTTGCATCAATGTTCATCAAGGATATTGGTCTAAAATTCTCTTTTTTGGTTGTGTCTCTGCCCGGCTTTGGTATCAGAATGATGCTGGCCTCATAAAATGAGTTAGGGAGGATTCCCTCTTTTTCTATTGATTGGAATAGCTTCAGAAGGAATGGTACCAGTTCCTCCTTGTACCTCTGGTAGAATTCGGCTGTGAATCCATCTGGTCCTGGACTCTTTTTGGTTGGTAAACTATTGATTATTGCCACAATTTCAGAGCCTGTTATTGGTCTATTCAGAGATTCAACTTCTTCCTGGTTTAGTCTTGGGAGAGTGTATGTGTCAAGGAATGTATCCATTTCTTCTAGATTTTCTAGTTTATTTGCGTAGAGGTGTTTGTAGTATTCTCTGATGGTAGTTTGTATTTCTGTGGGATCAGTGGTGATATCCCCTTTATCATTTTTTATTGTGTCTATTTGATTCTTCTCTCTTTTTTTCTTTATTAGTCTTGCTAGCGGTCTATCAATTTTGTTGATCCTTTCAAAAAACCAGCTCCTGGATTCATTGATTTTTTGAAGGGTTTTTTATGTCTCTATTTCCTTCAGTTCTGCTCTGATTTTAGTTATTTCTTGCCTTCTGCTAGCTTTTGAATGTGTTTGCTCTTGCTTTTCTAGTTCTTTTAATTGTGATGTTAGGGTGTCAATTTTGGATCCTTCCTGCTTTCTCTTGTAGGCATTTAGTGCTATAAATTTCCCTCTACACACTGCTTTGAATGCGTCCCAGAGATTCTGGTATGTGGTGTCTTTGTTCTCGTTGGTTTCAAAGAACATCTTTATTTCTGCCTTCATTTCGTTATGTACCCAGTAGTCATTCAGGAGCAGGTTGTTCAGTTTCCATGTAGTTGAGCGGCTTTGAGTGAGATTCTTAATCCTGAGTTCTAGTTTGATTGCACTGTGGTCTGAGAGATAGTTTGTTATAATTTCTGTTCTTTTACATTTGCTGAGGAGAGCTTTACTTCCAACTATGTGGTCAATTTTGGAATAGGTGTGGTGTGGTGCTGAAAAAAATGTATATTCTGTTGATTTGGGGTGGAGAGTTCTGTAGATGTCTATTAGGTCTGCTTGGTGCAGAGCTGAGTTCAATTCCTGGGTATCCTTGTTGACTTTCTGTCTCGTTGATCTGTCTAATGTTGACAGTGGGGTGTTAAAGTCTCCCATTATTAATGTGTGGGAGTCTAAGTCTCTTTGTAGGTCACTGAGGACTTGCTTTATGAATCTGGGTGCTCCTGTATTGGGTGCATAAATATTTAGGATAGTTAGCTCCTCTTGTTGAATTGATCCCTTTACCATTATGTAATGGCCTTCTTTGTCTCTTTTGATCTTTGTTGCTGGCCAGGGCAATCAGGCAGGGCAATCAGGCAGGAGAAGGAAATAAAGGGTATTCAATTAGGAAAAGAGGAAGTCAAATTGTCCCTGTTTGCAGACGACATGATTGTTTATCTAGAAAACCCCATCGTCTCAGCCCAAAATCTCCTTAAGCTGATAAGCAACTTCAGCAAAGTCTCAGGATACAAAATCAATGTACAAAAATCACAAGCATTCTTATACACCAACAACAGACAAACAGAGAGCCAAATCATGGGTGAACTCCCATTCACAATTGCTTCAAAGAGAATAAAATACCTAGGAATCCAACTTACAAGGGATGTGAAGGACCTCTTCAAGGAGAACTACAAACCACTGCTCAATGAAATAAAAGAGGACACAAACAAATGGAAGAACATTCCATGCTCATGGGTAGGAAGAATCAATATCGTGAAAATGGCCATACTGCCCAAGGTAATTTACAGATTCAATGCCATCCCCATCAAGCTACCAATGACTTTCTTCACAGAATTGGAAAAAACTACTTTCAAGTTCATATGGAACCAAAAAAGAGCCCGCATCGCCAAGTCAATCCTAAGCCAAAAGAACAAAGCTGGAGGCATCACACTACCTGACTTCAAACTATACTACAAGGCTACAGTAACCAAAACAGCATGGTACTGGTACCAAAACAGAGATATAGATCAATGGAACAGAACAGAGCCCTCAGAAATAATGCCGCATATCTACAACTATCTGATCTTTGACAAACCTGAGAAAAACAAGCAATGGGGAAAGGATTCCCTATTTAATAAATGGTTCTGGGAAAACTGGCTAGCCATATGTAGAAAGCTGAAACTGGATCCCTTCCTTACACCTTATACAAAAATCAATTCAAGATGGATTAAAGATTTAAACGTTAGACCTAAAACCATAAAAACCCTAGAAGAAAACCTAGGCATTACCATTCAGGACATAGGCGTGGGCAAGGACTTCATGTCCAAAACACCAAAAGCAATGGCAACAAAAGCCAAAATTGACAAATGGGATCTAATTAAACTAAAGAGCTTCTGCACAGCAAAAGAAACTACCATCAGAGTGAACAGGCAACCTACAACATGGGAGAAAATTTTTGCAACCTACTCATCTGACAAAGGGCTAATATCCAGAATCTACAATGAACTCAAACAAATTTGCAAGAAAAAAACAAACAACCCCATCAAAAAGTGGGCGAAGGACATGAACAGACACTTCTCAAAAGAAGACATTTATGCAGCCAAAAAACACATGAAGAAATGCTCATCATCACTGGCCATCAGAGAAATGCAAATCAAAACCACTATGAGATATCATCTCACACCAGTTAGAATGGCAATCATTAAAAAGTCAGGAAACAACAGGTGCTGGAGAGGATGTGGAGAAATAGGAACACTTTTACACTGTTGGTGGGACTGTAAACTAGTTCAACCATTGTGGAAGTCAGTGTGGCGATTCCTCAGGGATCTAGAACTAGAAATACCATTTGACCCAGCCATCCCATTACTGGGTATATACCCAAAGGACTATAAATCATGCTGCTATAAAGACACATGCACACGTATGTTTATTGCAGCACTATTCACAATAGCAAAGACTTGGAACCAACCCAAATGTCCAACAATGATAGACTGGATTAAGAAAATGTGGCACATATACACCATGGAATACTATGGAGCCATAAAAAATGATGAGTTCATGTCCTTTGTAGGGACATGGATGAAATTGGAAACCATCATTCTCAGTAAACTATCACAAGAACAAAAAACCAAACACCGCATATTCTCACTCATAGGTGGGAATTGAACAATGAGATCACATGGACACAGGAAGGGGAATATCACACTCTGGGGACTGTGGTGGGGTCGGGGGAGGGGGGAGGGATAGCATTGGGAGATATACCTAATGCTAGATGACACGTTAGTGGGTGCAGCGCACCAGCATGGCACATGTATACATATGTAACTAACCTGCACAATGTGCACATGTACCCTAAAACTTAGAGTATAATAAAAAAAAAAAAACATTAAAAAAAAAAAAAGAATGTTATAAAACCAGTGTTATTAGTTTGGGAACATGTTCTGTCTGACAAATTTGCTCTGGTATAATTAGGTGACATAATGGTCAAACAAATGGATGGAAGTAGTAAATGAAGCCTATCTCGAATGTTGTAAAGCTTCTGACTTTTTTTTGTCTGACATAATTGGATTATTATGAATTCTTCATATTGAATAATTAAAAAATACTAAACCTTGTGTCCAGAAATCCCTGAAAAGGGGATGCGCATGGATAAGCTCCATGACTGTATGAAATCCTTTACATTACAAGTCAATTTTTTGGTGAATTTGCACTTACGTATATTTTTCTCTGAAAGAATCCTTAGGTCTTATCAGATTCTCAGTGGATCCCTTGAATCCCTCCAAATGAAGAAGCATTTACGGAGTGGTATGCTGAAAGCAGAACTCCACTAGAATTTTAGCCCCAGACTAGCTACACTCAGTACAGTCTTAGACTAGTAATTTAATTTTCCTGTGCTTTAGTTTCTTCATTTCTAAACCAGAAGATTTAACTATGGTCAGTTCTCCTCCACAGACATATTCTCAAGTGACAAGTACATCCTAAAGATTTTTGCAACTTTAAGTGGCCACAGGTTCAGTTTTTCAGCCTTTACAGTGTTGTCACTAACAGTGTACTAAGAAATTTGAATCTTGCTGTTCAGTTTCCCTTGAAAAACATTTGTCTACTCTGGGCCCATATTACTGCACAGCAGCCCTTTGGAGATCAGTGCTAATACATTTGGGCAGTTGAATGCGCTCAGGGTCTCCACAGACCCCACCATGCCCTATAGTCTCACACCAGCAGGCTCCACTATTTTATATGGCTTTCCGGCTCTGGAAGCATTTGGTATGGTCTCCTCAGATCTGCACAGTACACCATTAAGCTAAGGAAAGAGAATGTATCAGATTATTGGGAGGTGATACAGTGCTATGAATGGGCAGCTTCACTGTCCCTTTACTGAGAGAATTCTGAGGCTCTCTGTGTTCCTATACATACCCTGATTGTGGAGGAAGATTTAACACTTTTTGCTGAAAATGATTTCTCTGCTTGGAGTTGAAACTGATCAACTTATATTGGGCGTCTTATATGATACTCTTACACATTTGCCGTGAACCAATATTTTAAGATGTTATGTTACACCAAAGAGGATCTGAAATTGTTGGAAAGTGTATGATAAAACTGCTCAGGCCCTGTATTTACACAAGTAAAATGAAACCTGAAGTAATTGTACATTTCAAGTTACTTCATTGACTAGATCAGGGATCTGCAAGATTTTTTGTAAAGAGACAGGAAATATCTGTTTGCTTTGCAGGGCATATTATCTTTGTTATAAGAACATAAGCCACCTTAGACAATACATAAATACATAAATGAATGATCATGGCTGTGTTTCAATAAAACCTTACTTAGAAATACAGGTAGATTTGGCTTGTGGATTGTAATTTGCCAGCCCCTAGGCTAATCATTAGAATATGGTGTCTGGTCTTAAAAACCTTGAAGAATAATCACAAAGATTAAAACAGGATGCTACTACAGGAGGTATTAGAAAAGAAGACCCACAGGAAAAGTGATCTGGGATGGCTTAACTTCACCAGGAGGAGGCTCTTGGGTAATATAATTTATGTTTGACATAGAAAATAATTTCTTGACAATAAAAGTGGTTACATTTTTAGAGTGAATTATTAAGGCAGTTTGTGGACTCTCTCTGAAAGGTTGTAAAAATAGTATAACTTTTCATCTTTCTGAGTTGGTTTTCAATAGATATATGAACAGGATAATCTCTAGGCACTGGGAGATGAACAACTAGAAATGTAAATTCAAACAGTTTTACATTCACAGTTGTTCATCTCCCATTGGACAGAAGCAGACCAACAATTCAGATTTCTGATGTTTACATTAGTACTTAGTACTTTCATATTCTTAGGAAAGGATTTTTTTTAACCCCTTTCCTAATCTCTGAAATGCCCAAGTGTTCTAAGTAGCATGGTTGATTAACATATAACGAATCTATTAGTAGTGCATTTAATGATGATGAAATGCTACACACATTTAAAATAACAGATATAATAGCTCACTGAACAGAATTATCCTAAAGTTATTTTGGAATCCTCAGAAAACATTTACTTGTTCTCTGAAGTTATCTGTGCAGACTATTGTGATTTCGTGAAGGGAGAACTCAAGATCGTACACCTACATTTCATTAACTTTTTTGGTCATGTTTCATGTGTCTCTAAGGCAATAGCTACAGTAACTTTAGTTGGTTTTTGGCTACTATCTCACTTGTATCAAATAGATTCATAGAAAAATATGGTGACAGCATTGGCGGGAAGTTTGGAGGACATCTAATTCAAACCTCTCATATTTAGGACAAAGAAATAAGAACCCTGGCTTGGGTTTTAGGGCACCTGATGAGGAACTAGAACTTCAGATATACTGTTTATTACACAAAAATAGATTTTTAAATTTGAGATTTTTTGACCAAAAAATTTTATCATAAGGCAGTAAACTCAGGTTTCATAGATCTACATAGGATTACTTGTTGGATATAACCCATTTAAGTTTAAATACCCAATTCTTTTTTGAGGGCTGGACTCTGGTCATTCTGGCAGTTGATTCTTCTATTTTCCTACGAGTTCTGTATTATGAGAATTTATGCTCTCCATTCCAATAATGGAATAAAATAAGAGCATGATACTGGAGATTGCCATCCCATGTGGTGTGTTAAAGATTCAGTCTATCCTGTTGCAGTCTCATTGGGAAGGAGCAATAGGGAGACATATGTGATCACTGCATCATACATATTAGATGGTAAATAAAATTTAATAAAGAGCAAAGATCTTTTTCCTGTTAGGGAATAAATTTGAGCATAATTGCAAATTACAATTTTATCTGAGAATATCTGTGTCTTACAGACATTCTATAATGAAGAAAAAATGAGCTATTTTCTAGTGTAAATCTTATTTTAAGTCATAATGATGTATATGTGTGTGTGTGCAGAACAAAATAGGTGTAATTACCTTATCTATTCCATTATATTTTAGCATCTCTTATACATGTGATTAAAGTTGCTCCCTTTAAAGTATTGTCATAGGGAGACTTTGACACTTATTTCAGGGATTCCACATTTAACCAATAAGTTTTTTTGGAAAGCTTAACTTAGATTTACCATACCAATTAGTTTTTAACTGTTTGTGTTTGTGTGTGAATAATCAGTTTGTGAGAAAAATTAGTCTCATTAAATTAGTCACTACTTCAGCATGACGAGCATAAATAGTCTTTTCTAGCTTAACCACTTGGAACGTACAGACTTGACCCTGAACAATTTTACCTTTAGATGATTTTATGCTACTGATATCAAAGAAATATATTCTCATCTCGGAATGCAATTCCAAAAGAGGAGTTCCAAAAATTACAACAGTGTCATATTTGGAGGACTGATTTCCATAAGATGAATTATGTCTGGTACACATTAATTTTTTTCAAAATGAAGCATGACTTACAGTAACATGCACAGATCATCGTGTGCAGTTTAAAAATTTTGAAATGTGCATACACCTTTGTAACTTACACCCTTATCAAAATATAGAACATCTCATCACCACAGGGTTTCTCCTGCTCTATTACATCATCCCCTGAATTGAAGCCCCACCCCTGACCCCCTTCATGGCTACCCAGGGAACCACTGCTCTGATTTCTATCACCATAGTTTAGTTATTCCTCTTCCGGAATGCCATGTAAGTGCCATCATCACATATTCTCTCTATTGTGTCTGGCTTCTTTCCTGCAGAACGTTTTTTGAGGTTCATCCATGATGTTGCATGTATCAGCAGTTCATTTCTTTTTATTGCCGAGTATGAATGTTTTTATGCGCTCTTGTTTTCTGATGTGAGTTAAAACTATGTGAGAAGACTGAATTATCTTCTTAGAAGTTACAGAATAAGGCTATATTTGAGGATTTTCTCCTCCACATAGGTCACTTTATACTATAACTTATCCTATTACACAAAGTATATCTATGTAAACAAAATTACTCTAATCACAATGAAAACTACTAGTTCAAATATTTAACTATAAATATTTTAGGAAAGACATTGTATCAGGGTATTAGAGTTTTTAATATATACATAGTTAACATTCATTTTATTAAATACTTATTGGAAGCCTACTACATGACAGACATAATACTATAAGAATTTTCTCATGTTTTGAAATGATATATAAAAGCTCTAGAAGAAATGAAGTATTAGTAACTGATCTAAATCTCTGTATTTATTTATAATTGATAATTACCAGTTTTAGTATTAATCTGTCACTTTATAGGCTGATGCAAATGAAAAAGTTATTTGTGAGGATACAGGATCTGAGAAAAGTGAGTTCCTATACATCATTTTTCAAAAACTGTCCTGGAGGCTTTCTTTGCTGCTTGTTGTTGAAAAATGGACTCCATAGGGTTGAGGCATCATGGAGACTTTAATTAAGTTTTAATTAAATGTTTTCCATGGTTTTGCATAATAAGGAGATAGTATCAAATCTAATTCCTGAAAAATCTAACATGCATCCTGGTAATCAACACATGAGGAAACTCTAAGCATCCACATATAATTTAGTGCTATTTCGGTTAAGTGCATTTTAAAAGGATAATCCTTACACAGTTTCTGAATATATTCATTAAAATTGGTGAACTTAGTAGAACACTCTAGGGAAGAAATTTTTAAATAAAACTTCAAATTTTTGTTGGTTTGATATACTGACAATTTAATAATTTAATGTCTCTGAAATTATTTTGTGTATTTTATTTGGTAATTTGTAAAAGTATTACATAAGCACTCTTGGATTTTTAAAAGTCTAAGGACATAGAATATAAAGTGTCGCATCACTTTCAAATGTGTGAACATAGTAAGAGTTGCCTAAACTGTTTGTTTGTAATTGGGGGTAATAATATATTCAGACCATAGAATTGTAAGGCTTACCCGAGATAGGATCTCAAAGTATTTCACTCTTACACCTTGGGTAGAAGGCATACTTTAGGCCTTATATCCAAATGAAGTTATATGGATAATTACAAACATTAACTAACAGGATTGAACATATAAAATATATCACAGTTTTTTCATTGCTTCATTTTTAATACATTATAAACCTTAAGCAATTGAAAGTGTCCTGTGCCCTTGAGCTTTAAGAGATGAGTTTAAAAAACTTATAACATGTAACATAATCCAATTGACCAAACATATGTTGAGTTTTAACTATTTGCTAAGGATTGTATTAAGTACTAGGAGTACAAAGATGAATAATGTAGGATTCCTCACTTCCTTTGCCTTATTCAGCTTTTTCCTTACTCCTTTTAGTTTTTCACTCAATAGGTATTTTTTCTCCTAATTTTAAGGTCTACCTTTTAACTGTAAATGGCTAGATTGGACTACATGGTGTCTAAGTTTTCCCCCAATTCTGCAATTCTATGCCTTCTAAATGTATGCTTTGAATGCTAACATGGATATGTGCAAACACTGAGGCAGGTTTTGCTTAGACATGCAGCAAGTTTGAAATTCGTTTATATACACGTTTAAGAAACTCAGCTTCGGAGTCAGACGGGCCTAGGTACAAATATTTACCACTTAGGCAAGCTACCAAATCTCTGAATTTTTCTCTGTGGTGTATTTTATAAAGTAGGGATAAAAATACTACTTCCTTTATAAAGCATTATGAAGACTATATGAGATAATGCATGTAAGAGACTTAAACAGGTGTGTTCAGAATATAATAAACTCGAAATAAGTATTAGTCTTTATTCATCAGGCAATATAAATATAGGTAATTTACTTGTCTGGAAAAATATTCCTAAGTATTCGCAAGTTAGGTAAAGTGCATTTGTCCTTATTTTACAAGAGAAGTTAGTGAACTTTAATGAGGATGACAGGATAAATGTATTTTCTGTCTATGCTAGTCATGTTCTTGTCAAGAACCACGCTCAGAAATTCTTTGTTGGTAGCAGACTATCGCACAGTGGAATCATCTTACATCTAGTGTTTTCATTGCTCAGCACTGTGCTGAAAACAACAGCTCTACCATGTTTGCCCAATGAGTAAATGATTGGCTGGATGAATAGATGAAAATGATTGCTGTTAATACACTAAATATAAAACAAAAATTTGCCTGAGGCAATATTAGTAAATAGTTAATAGAGACAAGATTTTAGCTTTTACTACTTGTTGGTACTTTTACATAATTTCCTAATCCTCTGTTTCTTACAATGATGCATACACATGGACAACGCTGCAGTATAGTGGCTTCACAAAATGTGATGCAATCATATTTTTTACTTATTTATAACAAGAATCCCAAGTACGAACTGCAGTAGTTAGCATTAATTTTCCTATTTTATTTTCAGAAAATGTGGGACCAGAAAAAAATAGATGACCTAGTATGACAACTGATTTTTAATTGATCCAGTAAATGTTACCCTGTTTCAGAGAGAGGTGCTTCTTTCCCAAAGTTATAGTGTTATCTCACCTATTCATAGCAAAGATGTCCTTATGACTCTAAGATGAACTTTCCAGTAGTGCCCTGGAGCTCTTTTGCATTCCCATGGACCTATTATGATTATGGAACCCCATTAAGAAGATTCCCTTTGAGATATTGAGATAAAAAATCCAGAATGTATATCATTAAAAGTTATAACATTGGACCTCAATCATGCTTCCCTTTCTATATCTTTGATCTTAATGATCTGAGTTTGGACCAGCAAGGTATTATGCTCTTAGAACAGCTGCTGGGGTATAAAAGAGCATTTTAGAGAGGGATGGAGATTGTGAAATATGAATTGAAATCAGGTCTAGTGAAGTTAATTCAGCAGCTGTGTATAAAGAAGCATTTTGATGTCTAGTATGGTAATGCATCAATACTTATCGTCAGATAATTTTAATTAAGCAAACCTTAAAGTAGTAAAAATTAGAAATATTGTTTAATTAAACCTTAAAGTATTAAAAATTAGAAATATTTTTAGACTTTTCTCCTCTATATTTTGTATGTGGAGTCAGATAGAAAGTAGAAATATAATAAGGACCTAAAAAACTGCCAGTAGGAAAATCAGTTGAAATAATCCAGATGCTTCTACTATTTTAAAGGTCAAATCTGGTTTGCTCATAAAACCCAGAGTAGTGTGAGAGGAGATGTTTAATAAATCTTGGAATTTGGTAGTAGAATAAAAGTGGTGAATTTAGAGACCTTAAGCTTGGTTGGTTAGATTTTCACATTATGCCATCTAAGAGTGGAAAAGATTTCTTCCAGCTGTAAAATTGTGGGTTAAAAGAAATGTCACACTTCAACTTTTTTTCCTTTTTAAATCCATATGCTCTGAATGTTACCAGATTTTTCAGACTTCAGGAACTGAAGGCTTTTTATTCATAGGACAGGCTTTGCAGGAACTACTATAGTGCAAATTCATCCCCATAACTCTCCTAAAATAAATATATTTTTCTTTGGAAATACCAACTCTTAGATAGCAAGAATAATTTCCTCGTGGCCTTCATAGCTTTTGGCTTTTGTCTGAAAGATCCAGAAAGTGCAGAGGTTATGATGTATTGCTTTAGTGACACGAACACTTGTCCCTTAGGATTGACATTTCAGGAACTTCTTCATGTGTTACAAAGCCACATGCAGAGAGTGTTTGAAAGTCATTGGATAGCTGACTTCACCCACAGGGAGAGTGACAGGGACCTGGAGTAAAGCCTTTTCAGTGAAAACCTTTAGGCATAATTAGATTATTCTAGCAGGTAGTGGATTCATGTCAATCCAGCCATCTCCAGAGGATGCTGAGGGCTACCAGTCTCACATGACAGCTTTCACTGGCTGGTTGCTGCTGAACTGCTGAACTGCGAGTTAACTTCAGGGACCTTTTGAATTGCCTTCAGGGTGTGGCACAAGAATGCAGCAAGCTCAAGAGATTTTAAAGATTCATTCTCCATATGAGTTGGCCCTAGGGATTCAGAGAGAAACTGAGATGGTGGCGGTAATTCTAGGGCCCTGTGAAATGTAAGCTATCTATAAAATACTGATGCAATGTATAATGAGCTATTCTGGTGTTAGTGCATTAGTGTGCCAATCCTGGCATAATAAACACAAAATATTTATGAAATGCTTAACTGACATGTATTTGAAATATACACCAAATATTGGTATCAAAAGAGGGCTGATACTATGTTATAGGTTAGTTGGGTTTACATAATCTTTGCTTGAACATTGTTATTATGGGAAGCATGGTTTTAAAGGAACAGTGACAAACATGTTAGGTGCTTACCCGTTATCTGTTTTCTTCCATTGTTTAGCTGAAGACAATGTAAGACTTTTATGACCTTCCTGTTCCTTACTTTCTCAGCCATGAGTTCCCATTCTGACCAATGAGGTCTAAGGTCCAAGGGCTATGGTAGTTCTTGGAAAAGCCTTTACATTCTTGGTAAACATGAACACACATTGTCGGCTTAGCCAATCTGGTCATCTTTGCTTTCATCTGTTTGTTGTTTCATTTAGAAGTTGAATTAATGAGTACAAATCCCTCATACTTCCGGCTATGGGAGGTAAATAAACTCTTAGTTATTTAAGGCATTTTAAAATCATGGTTGCAAAATGGCTGCCACGCCTTTTAGGTATCACATTTTTCCTTGGGTTAAAAACAAAGCCCATCATGACTGACGTCCTTTTAGATGTCACTGGCCATAACTGGTTCACATAGCTAGAAAAGCAGGGCACAAACATAGAAAGTGCCGGTATCCCTGTTGTCTTCATTTAGTAGTTGAATCTGTGAGTTCAACTGCCTACCTCTGAACTTTCATTATTTGTTTAAAGCATTGTAATAATACTGTTGCTATTTTCAGCTGAACATGTGACAAAATAAGTAGAATTTGGAGGGAGGAGAATATTTGAAAGTTAGGAAGAGTATGACTGAAGGATGAGCTAATGAGTAGATTGTCTTAAGTGGATCAACTGTTCTCTAAAGTAGTGGAAAGTCAGTTATTAAATCCATAAAAGGCTTTATCATAAAATGAAAATCTATTCTAGCATTATTGTAAGTATTAATAAAATTACTATGTAAAACATTTTGCTAGTCCATTTATTATGTTTTCTAAAAGTATTTTCTCAACCAGTATTTAGGAAACATTTCTAACTATGTAAACAACTCTTTTTTTTTTTTTTTTTTTCTGAGACGGAGTCTCGTTCTGTCGCCCAGGCGGGAGTGCTGTGGCGCGATCTCCGCTCACTGCAAGCTCCGCCTTCCGGGTTCACGCCATTCTCCTGCCTCAGCCTCCCGAGTAGCTGGGACTACAGTAAACAACTCTTATATAGACAAACTGGTAGAAGGTAGAGGATAAATAATCCAAAATGCTAATCTTAAAATGTCTGTGTTTGTATTAAGCAATCAGGAAACATTTTGCAGCATATCTACTTGCTCTGAACTGAATGGAAGGGCCCCAGAGCTGCAGCAGTAAGGTTAATTTATTCACGGATTATTAATTATTAATTATTATATGTGACTCTGTAGTAACCCACCATTTATAAAAAATTGCTTTCTGTTTAAATTTAGGTTAGATACATTGATAAATAACAATTAGAGAACATATTTTACACATCCAACCTTAAGGGTTCTTATTGTTCTTTAAAACTGATTATTATAAGATGTTTGGAGCAAGATTTGGCCTAAAGGCCAATTAATTTGAAATACCTCACTAAACCAAAGAAGAGTTGATTTAGAAATGGCCAATTTCATGTCTAATAAGCTACTATCCTAAGTAAAAAAAAAAAATCAGTCTGTTGTGTCAAAATGCTTTTTTTCTCATTCAGATTCATACTGGTGACTATTTCATTATTGCAGAGGAGCCCAATGTGGGTGAAATGTTACAAATACTAACAGTGAAGAAATCTGGTTCTCTTAAGTCTGTGTTTTTGGCTGAAGCTACAAAGTTTCCCAGTGGTGTCTGTTACAAAGTAACATGCAGGACTTGGCAGCCAGTTACAGATAACAAGACTTCCATCCCGAAGACTGTCCAAGCCACATGCTAAATTTTGCCCATCTGTCACCAGTCTCCTCTGTCCCATGTCAGAGTCAAATTTGGAAACTGGTGACATTGGAGGTACTTGTTATGCCTGGCAGAACAAAACCCAAAGGTCTTATTGCTCATGACAGTTCAGATGTACTTGAACAGTAATTACTGTTCATATGGAGTTCTTTGCCATGTTCTTCTGTTTCATGACTTCCCATCTTCCTTTAGATGGTCCCAGTATACAGGGTACTGAATATTAGAAGCAGCAAGAAATGGTACCACAAATTATTTTTTTTAAATTTATTTTATGTGAAAGTCAAAGAATGCTAGTACAAACCTAACATTTGATGGACATGTTTGTTGCATATTACCCAGCTAGGTAAGGCTAAGTAATACAGAATTAATAACTATATTTTCAGAGAAATATTATTTAACATATTTTAGTTTTATGAGTATATAATTGAAAACATCACATTAAAAGTTATTAATTTACACACAATATGAATGAATCTCAGAAACAAAATGTTGAATAAAAGAAGCCAGACACAAAAAAGTACATACAGTATGATTTTACTCACATAAAGTTCAAAAACAGGCAAAACTAGTGTGTGTTCTAAAACAATAGGGTAGTGATTACCCTTGGGATAGTACTTGAAAGTGGGGCAAAGTAGGGGCTTCCGCTACGTGAGTAACATTCTCTTTCTTGCTCTAGCTAAAGGTTACCTGACACATTTATACTGTGGAAATTGATCCCACTGCACGTTGATAGTTTGTATACTTTGTTTGAATATCATTCTTCAATTGAAAAAGTAAAAGAAGAATTAACTTGTAAAGTAAAATAACAGTTACTTTAGAAAACACAAAACCACTATAAAAATTATTTTTCAACATAATTCAGAATTATTAATGATAATGATAATTATTTATGGAACACATCTGTGTTAGACATGGTTCTAAGTGTTTGAATTACGTTACTTTCCTTAGTGATTACACCATCTTAGAGGTGTTGTTTTTTGTTCTGTTTGTTAAAGAGGAATTGGGATTTGGGATTTAGAGAAATTAAGCAGCTTGCTCAAGGCCACGTCTCAAGTTAGGAATTGTGTGTAAATTTGAACATTTGTTTGTTTAACTTCAGCAAGGAGGAGAAGCTTTCGCACTGTGCCACGTGCTTCCACTAACCATCACAGTTGCACATTGAGACAAATTAATTTCAGACTCTGGACTGAATTTTCATTTTGAGGATGAGCAGTTTTCTTCTTAGATTGAAGTTTCCGTTTCCATGATAATCAATGATTGTTATTATAAACTTTATCCTCAGTCTGTACTGGGGTTTTATATAGCTCAAGAGGGAATCAAATATAAAGCAGCAATAGTTGTTTAAAACTAAAGTTTGGAAAGGCCAAAAAAGATTAATAGTCTTTCATAGACAATCCCAATGGGTAAAGTTGGGGATATTTTGATTTGGCAGCCTCATATATTTTTTCTTATTTTAGGAAGCTGCTTCCTAGTATTGGCCTTTGTACTTCTAAAACTTTTGGTTGAGAGAAAAAAAATGGAAGATGGTAAGATAAAATTCCATGAATTTAAGAACAGTGATTTTAAATTTATTAGGGCTATATTGCATAATTAGATTTTAAGAACCTGAGAGTGTAATGAACCACATTTTATTTCTCATTAGAAAACTGATTTCTTCCCATTGGCCATACACAAGTCCTGGTGAAGGAGTAAGTGCTAGGGAAAAAGGGATATAAGGTAGATGGGTCTATACCTTGGGGAAGACAGGCATTAACTTTTGTGCAAATCAGAATTGCAAGTTAAAGAAGTGAAACATTAATGTTGTATAGTTTGAAAAGCACTGCGTCATCTCATTTTACCCTCGTGATTCTGAGATCAGTATCATTGTTACGTCCATTTTACAGATTAGGAATCTGAGGCTCAGAGGCCAATTAGCACAAACACATTTACCCAGTAGGTAACAGACCGTGGGAATGAAGGGGAGGAAAATTAATTATTGCTAGATAAACTAGGAAGGCTTTATAAAGAAATGCATGATTAGGTGCTTCAGGAACAAGTCAGATTTAAACACAAGAAAGTAAGGGAAGGGCACTGTGGTTTGAATGAGCTGTGAGAGCCAAAACTCTAAATGCAGGAGAAAGCATGTCTCTTCTGGTCTATGGTCAGGCATTTACTGTGGGTGAAAAACAGATTTCAGAGCCATCATAGTTTGGCTGGCAATAAAATTATTTTGTGAGCACATCATGGAGGCCTGGTTCTGTAGGCTCTAGAAGGAGAGACTCTTGTGTGTGTGAGAAAACACCAATATTGTGGGTGGGTACAATAAGTAAAGAGATAGAAGAAAAGAAACCAGGTAGTGAGTTATGACAATAGTGTAATGTGGGCTTCAATTAGGGTGAAGTGGTAGAAACAGGAAAAGAAAAGGTGGAGGGAAGATTGAAGGGCACTCCAGTGGTCATTGTTTCCTAAGGAGGCCCAGTAGTGCTGCCTTTATATAACTTTCTATTTGATTACCATCACAGAGGAATCCTGAGGAATCTCATAAAAAATTTTCATTATAACTCTATTTACTCACTATTTTGGGAAGATAGGGGAAATGTATTAAAATTACAGCAAGAGTAAATGCGGTACTTTTCACTTATTCAGATTATTTTTTATTTTATATAGATACATTATGAAATCCAAGTTTGAATTGTAAAGCTTTGGCTTTTTGAAGCTTTTGAAGTAAATGTGACTTGCTGTATTACACACAGCTATGACTTCCTATATTTCTAGCTTGTGCACCTAGCATATTTGATAGAGCAGATTTTTTTAAATATCCTCTCTTCTATATAACAAGATTACTTTTTAGTAATAGGGTAATATCAGTAATATTATTACTTTTTGATTTGTTCTTTAGGTTCAAAACAACAATGAAATTAGAGTACATTTTAATTTTAAGGTTTAATTCAAATATTATAAATTGTTCTACAAATGCAATAAAATTAATAGTAAGCAAATGAAAATGTTACACCTTAGAATTTGTACTGTTTCATTGATTTAAATACAAATAAAATTCCAAGTAGGCTCATAGGATGACAGAATTAAGGTAATTTAAGTTCTGATTCTTCTTTACAAAGACTGCACTACTATTGCTTATTTTGAAACAGATAGTACTACATGTGTTAGAGACACAAATTGCAGCCAAAGCAAACTCAGATGACTCTGAACTATTATAAAAATTACACTTGTTGGCTGGGCATGGTGGCTTACGCCTGTGGTCCCAGCACTTTGGGAGGCTGAGGTGGGTGGATCACTTGTGGTCAGGAGTTTGAGACCAGGCTGGCCAACATGGCGAAACCCTGTCTCTTCTAAAAATACAAAAAAATTAGCCAGGCATGGTGGTGCACACCTGTAATCCCAGGTACTCAGGAGGCTGAGGCAAGGGAATTGCTTGAACCCGAGAAACAGAGGTTGCAGTGAGCTGAGATTGTACCATGGCACTCTAGCCTGGGAAACAGAGGGAGACATTGTCTTAAAAAAAAAAAATTACACTTGTAATGAGTATGTGTAGTTTAGTTCTTATCTATTAGAGATTAGGTCTTATCTATTAGAAATAAGTGGAAGTTAATTGTATGTTGGTTGTTCTCCAAACTTCCATGCAGAATACCATGTTTATGAAAGGGTGCATAATTGCCAATTTGGAACTCATGTGTAGTATTAAACTCAATAATAACTATATAGTTGTTTAGACATTAGACCAGTAAAATATTTTTAGGATGTTTTGTCATTGAAATTTGGTGGGTATGTGGTGATCATAAAAAGCTAATGAACATATTATCAGCCTTATGAATGGTTTTGGATTATCTGCAGGCAGTGCACTCCTTAATTGCCTGTGCCTGGAAAAGACTGCTTCCTCTGCCCTACCTTTGTCTGCCTAATGCACTGCCTTGACTAACACCTTTTTTCTTGTGAAATGACTTTTTCCTTCACCCTGCCTTCTGACATATGTCTTCATTACCCTTCCATTCTCAATCAGATACCACCTACATTATTTGATTTCCATGACTGAATGCTGTCTCCTTCCTTTGAACTCACAGTGTACTATTTTCATTACTCTATAGACCACCTAGTAATATTAACTTTGCAAGGATCGTTGCTGAGAGTACAGTCGTACTTATTTTTCATTTTTCAGCACCTAGAATTGAACACTTATTATCAATCAGCCAAACCAGTCTGTACACACTTGATATTGCTTAAACCAAAAGGAAACTATTACAGTGACCCCATTTGTTTTTGCTTTGTCGTCGTTGTTATAGAGACTTAAAAATAGGATTTGGGGGATATTACGTGAAAGCCTTTAACTCAATATGCATACTTAATTTCATATTTGGTTCTGGAAAAGTCTAAACTTCTTTAACATTTCTATCTTCCTCCAGAACAACATCCAGCCTCACTGCTCTTCTCTTACTATCTTACTAATGTCTGCAATTTTTCTTCTACATATATTTTTAAAGTGCTGTGAATTAGTTTTTTTACACTCAGTGTCTAGTAAGAATTACCAGTAGATTTTGGCCGGGCATGGTGGCTCATGCCTATAATCCCAGTACTTTGGGAGGCCGAGGTGGGCGGATCACAAGGTCAGGAGTTCAACACCAGCCTGACCAACATGGTGAAACCCTATCTCTACTAAAAAATACAAAAAAAATTATCTGGGCATGATGGCACGTGCCTGTAATCACAGCTACTCAGGAGGCTGAGGGAGGAGAATCACTTCAACCCAGGAGGAGGTTGCAGTGAGCTGAGATACTGCCATTGCACTCCAGCCTGGGCGACAGAGCGAGACTCCATCTCAAAAAAAAAAAAAAAAAAAAAAAGAATTACCAGTAGATTTTATAATTACTTTTGTCACTGTTTTATACATTTCATTTCTTCTTTCCGTGTTTTTTTTTTTACTTCTTCTTTCCATGGTTTTTTTTTTTTTCTTCCTGAAGAATGTCCTTTAGTAATTCTTGCAGGGAGTATCTATTGCCAGTGAACACTCCTTAGTTGCATGTATGGAGGGTTCTTTGTCTTATCATCACTGATGAAACTTAGTTTAGCTGGGGGCAGAAAATTTTAGACTGTTAGTTACTACTTCTCAGCATTTTTGAATATTCTGGCTGCTGTTGTAGTTGATGAGATATATGCTGCCAGTTTAAGCATCAGTTGCCAATAGATAATTTATCTTTTGTCTTAGGAGGCTTTTAAAGTTTTCTCTTTATCCTTAATGCATTCTAGTTTTATTGTAATGCATTTAAATATGAATTTACTTTTAATTTATCTGGCTTTCTTCCAGCTTTTGCTTTCTGTCTGAGAATACATTTTTCTTTTTCTTTTTCTTTTTCTTTTTCTTTTTTTTTTTTTTGAGACAGAGTCTTGCTCTGTCCCCAAGGCTGGAGTGCAGTAGGGTGATCTTGGCTCACTGCAAACTCTGCCTCCCAGGTTCAAGCGATTCTCCTACCTCAGCCTCCTGAGTAGGTGGGGTTACAGGCGTGTGCCACCATGCCCAGCTAATTTTTGTATTTTTAGTAGAGATGTTGTTTCACCATGTTGGCCAGGCTGGTCTTGAACTCCTGACCTCAAAATCTGCACGCTTCAGCCTCCCAAAGTGCTGGGATTACAGGCGTGAACCACCGTGCCCGGCCACATTTTATTTCAGTTCTTAAAAATTCTTAGGCATCATTATGATTCTTTTTAAAAATATTGGTTTTTCACCATTCTCTCAACTTGCTACTTCTGGAACTCCTGTTAGTGATGTGTGGGAGCAGAGAGACATTAGTAGTGCTCACCAATATTGGAATAGTTATTCCTTCAAGGACATATGTGTGACTATACCTCTTAGGCCCTTGCAGTTAAGCAGAGCTATGTAACTAATTATGGACAATAAAATGTGAGAGAAGTGATGTGTGTTATTGCCAAGTTGAAGCAAGGAAAAGCCCCTGCGCAACTCTCTAGTCTCTCTTTTCTTCTGCTTTAGCAATTACGACAGAGGGCCTGAATGAATGGTAAACTTCTATGAAGATACTGATATTTGGGAATATTTGCTACTGCAATGTTGACTCTCTTATCCTGAGTAAAATAGAAAGCCTCTCAAGCTAATCCGCATGTTACCTAAAATTCTCTTACATAGTTGTCATTTACTTGTTTCTCTGGTATAATCTTTCAGTTCAGTAATTTTTTCTTTAGCTGTGTTCAGCTCAGGATTAGTCTCTTTTCCAGTTTTAATTTTAGTTATGGTAATTTTCTTTCTAGCATTTATAACTCCATCATAACCACATTCTCAGTTTATAATAATAATTTACAGTCTTTTATACTTGAATTATGTTATTTCTATTTATTTCTACAAGTATTTTATACAGTTATTTGTACATTGTTTTCAGATTTTTATTATTTGCATTTCCCCAAAATGAACTCTCTCAATTGTTTAGAATGTGAGCTGTATTTTGTGGCATTTTCCTCATATGAGATTAAATTTTTGTTTGCTAATTCCTTTTGAGTAACAGATTTTTAGTTGTGGTTCTTGTTGCTCTTGTTTGTTTTGTATTTCTTTTCTCCTGGAGGTTCTATATATTGCCTACTAGTTTTACCATTACCTGCATCCAGCTCCTCTCTATTCAGAACTAGGCCATGCACTGGCATTTTGGGTCTCCAGTCTGGCAGGGGTACTGATATTTTACAAGTCTTGTGGCTAACTCAGAGAATAACAGGACCCAGAACGAGAAGTAATCTTGGCTCCAATTGCTGCCCTGACTGCAGCTTGACATAGTCTCAGCCCTGGGTAATAGTTACTATTTTTTGTCGAGGCTCCTCTCATAAATCAGGGAAACTAAACCCAACCTCTGGTTTTACATCCTGAGTCTAGCCCCTATCTCTTGACACAGACGGAGCACTTTGAGTTCCTGTTATTCTCCTCCCTCACCCCATTTTGAAATTTCTTATTTCCAGTCCAAGAGCCTAGTAAGTTATACTGCTGTTTTGCATTTCTGTTATAGAATGTTGATCTTGTTTCTGAGTTCAGTTGTCTTTTTCAATATTATACATAATATACATAAATATATAAATATCTGTCTGTATGTGTATATGTGTGCATGTTTCATTGCTTTGGATCTGAAGGGGAGGGAATGAGTGTTTATACTTGCACTCAAAATTCCATCTTAATAAGGAGTCAAAGTCTAATTCAAATGAGGTTAGTTCTCTGGCTCATGATATGGTGATCCTTCTTTTATTACCAATTACAGATACTTCATTTTGATTGAGTTCCCTTCCAGGGGATTTCACTTAATTTTTTAAAGATTCTCTGAGAAATGAGGAGTGTTTTGGTGTGCATTGAGGCAAATGATTGAGTCTGAAAGGCCATCATAGTAGCCTCATGAGAATCATTAAAAGCACCTACCACTCAACTTTGTCCTTTGCTAAAGCAAATGGGTATATGGATTAACTCAGCATTTAAGTCTTCCTATACTTTTTGACCCTTCATTTAGTAGTAGAATTAATCATAACTTAAGAGAAAGATAAATGAAGAGATGTGAGAACATCAGGAGTAAAATCACTTAATAAAATCTTGGTGGAGCTAGTGAAGATTATGACACATTCATTTTCTGTGTTACTGTGGGTAGGATGAAATCAGATTTTATTTTATTGTATATGGGTGCCACTCTCTGAGGTTGCATAGAATATAAAATGCAGTGTTTTTCAAAGGAGTGTCCACGGAGATAGAACAATGTTTTAGTTTCAAGATTAGCTTTTCTTTTATCTGTCTTTTGCTGAGTGTTTACTAACACACATGTGTCTACTTTGGGAATATTTTATAGGGAATCATAACATCTAAAACAATTTCAGGGATAATTTTTCACATTGTCACAGAATACCTTTTTTTACTAAAACACTTTAAAAAAATAAGCTGTCTGGCCGGGTGTGGTGGCTTGCTCCTGTAATCCCAGCAGTTTGGTAGACTGAGGTGGGTGGATCACCTGAGGTCAGGAGTTCGAGACCAGCCTGGCCAACATGGTGAAACCCTGTCTCTATTAAAAAAACAAAAATTAGCTGGCTGTGGTGGCGGGCACAGTAATCCCAGCTAATTGGAGGCTGAGGCAGGAGAATCACTTGAACCTGGAAGACAGAGGTTGCAGTGAGCCGAGATCATGCCACCGCATTCCAGCCTGGCAGCAGAGTGAGAGTCTGTCAAAAAAAAAAAAATGCATTTACTTGCTATTACATTATTCCTTCTTTATCTAAAAAAAAATACTTTACAATGGATAATCATTTTGTGGAAATAGTTTTAAAACATATGGCTTACATTTTACCTCTGTACTGAGTTGAATAGTGTTTCCACAAACTTCATGTCTACCCAGAACCTGTGACTTATTTGGAAATGAGGTGTTTGCAGATGTATTCAAATTAAAATGAGGTCATACCTTATTAGAGTGAGTACTAATTCAGTGATCAGTAGGAACAGGGAAATTTGGATACAGACACAGACAGAGGAGAGTGACATGTGAAGAAAGGGACAGATTGGAGTGATGTATATACAGGCCAAGGAATGCCTAAGATTGCTAGCAATCATCAGAAGCTAGGATAGAGGCATGGAAAAGGTTTTCTCTCAGAGGCTCCGGAAGGAACCAACCCTGCTGATGCCTTGGTTTTGGACTTCTAGCTACCAGAACTGTGAGAGAATAAATTTCTGCTGTCTTAAGCCTCCCAGTTTGCAGCACTTTTGTTGTGGAAACCCTAGGAAACTAATATACCATTTTACACAACATATTCTAAATGTAATGCAACTTTTATCTATGTTATAAACAATTTCTGCTTTGTTATCATGCCATGATGTTGTAAGGAACCTTTGAAGTGCATTGCATTGGATTTACCTTGCCCTTAAAGAAAGTAAACAAGGTAATTTTGCTGTCCTTGCTGGGCATTCTGTTGTCTTGTCAACAGCTATTACGTTTCTTTATATAGCTTTCCCTTTTTCTTCCTTTGTGTCTATGCAGCTGTTGCACTCCAAGAACTGAAGGTTTCCAGGAGAAAAGAGAAACCCAACCAACCAAAGTTTACTAAATCAGTTATTGAATTTCACCTGCAATTCTTAGTCTATGGGCTCAAGTTTGAGAGTCGTTGGTTTCCTAATGTATATTGGCCATAGTTGCTCTGGGAAAAATGGTGGGTGGTGGTGGTAATGCTTACTGTCAAAAACAGATTGGGAAATGCTGCCTATGGCACTTCTCCTGTGGCAAATTTATACTCTTACAAGATATATTCAAGACTTTCAGAAGTTTTAATGTAACAAACCTTATTTAAACTAACACTTGACACCAGAACCCTTTCTTTGTTGTCATCTATTAATATCTCATGATTCTACAGAAATCACTTTGAGGAACACATTTAAAGAGAAAAATGTCTGTTCCTTACTAAGCAGTTTTCTCTAAGCTCACAGCTGACACATTTTTTGGGGCTTTCAACTCAGACTTTGTTTTGAATATTTGAGGTTACCAAAAGCAGGAGGGTCAGAAACATGATGAGTTATTCTAATTTGTTTTTAACAGTAATTAATCTTCCTAAAGTACTCTTTATTTAGATAGGATTTTGTTTGTTGTTTCTTTGGGGCCATTTTGTATGTATTTTCCTGTCACAATCTAGGTGCTAAGAAAGATTAAATAAACTTCTGTTTGGAAAATTCTGTGTAAAACTGAAGTCAAAAACAGATAAGCAGACATTAGAGTTGGACTACCTGTTTTCTATCTGTATATTTAGTCCTTCACATTTCCCATGGTGTCTTGTTTTTGAGTTAATTATGTGGCATCATGTCATATATCTAATTATTTTAATTCAGAAACCAAACAGGGTTGCTGAAGTAGTGCTGCTGCTAGTCTCTTGAGGAGTGGGAACAAGTTATTCATGCATTCAGTCAAACAGCCTGATAAACCATCTTCGTGTCAAGTGTTGATCTAGGTGCTGGGGATACAGCAAGTGACAAAACATGCAAATTCCTGGCTCTATAATAGCACATATCCAAGTATGGAGAGACCAAAAATAAATGATACACCAGTAAGATTGCTAGTACGAGTTGGTTATAAGCATTATGAAGAAAAATAAAGTAGGCCTGGGCAAGAGGAATACAGGTGAGAGTGAGTGAAAGTTTGCCATTTGAATGATGATGGTCAGAAAAGGTATCGCTGAGATGGTAAAATGTGACAAGACACCCAAAGAAGGAAGGGAATAATCCATGTGGCTTGGAGTGAGACAGTGTTCTAGAAGGAGGGAACAACCAATGCGAAGGCTCAGAAGCAGGAGTGTCTGTGGTTGACTTAGTAACAGCACAGGCTAGTATCTATAGAGCAGAAGGGATGGGGGTGAAGAGGTGGGGTCATTGTGGGGGCCTTTAAGGCCTCTCTAAAAATTTTTGCTTCTCCCTTGAGTGGCATAGGAAGTCATTGGAGGACTGTGAACTGAGAAATGATATGATCTAGCTAACATTTTTACAGGAGTATAATGACCGTTAGGTTGTTGCCACCAGGCTCAAATACCACCACTCATAAAGGCATTTTTGAAATAGACTGAGGTAATTCCTCACGGAGGGGAACTGCTACTGTCAAACAGATGTCATCAGAACTATAAGAATATATTAGACTCTTTCAACATCGAGAAAATGATCAGGAATTGTAAGGAGTCACTATGGTGGGAATTTTTTTTTTTTTTAATTTGAGTTGAGAACCTGTCTGTATTCTTTTTTTACCAAAAAAATAAAGACTTGCTCAAGAAAGACATGTGTCCCTATCAGTTCTAAAAATATCATATCTGCTCTGATGGTTAATTGCTGCCAGATTAAAAAAATTCTTATTAAAACAAGTTTTATGTTATGAGAATTGTAGGTGAATTTAGAAGCCAGAGATACAAGAATGTCTTCAGCTTGTTTGAACGTGTTGTTGTTAAATAGAATTTTGAAAACTGATGAATAGAATAAAAAATTTATCCTGTTTTTCTCAAACTATGTCTAAGAACCAAATAATTGATTAGAAGGATAGTATTTTTATAGAAGTTTATCAATTAGTAAAGAACTGTGGTTATATGAACTATCCATTAATGAACCTACTACTTATAAAATGTATCCCCACTCAAACATATCTTCAGTCAGATATCTGTTCTGATTCTACCCCATTGTGTCAACTCCCTTTCTGTTCGTATATCAGTATAACATGCTTTTCTAATCAGCATGTTAGATGTGGATATATTGATTAGTAAAATGCAAATTATTTCTGAATGAAAGTAGTAATCACATAAAAGAAATGGGATTTTATAAAGTTCAAAAAAGTGGTCCTGGAGAACCATTTGAGCCTTTCTCAAAATTATTAATAAACAGTGGTCTAACAGAGTTATACTAGTTATCATTTGAAGAAGAAAACCATCATGGATTATCAAAGATAATGCTTTTAAAGTGAAAGTTTTGAATGCCAAATCAATAATAATACATAATAATAGTTATCAATTATTTAATGCATACCCTATGCTGAGTATTGTTCCAAGTGCTTTCTATGCAGTCTCAGTTGGAATATTGGTTTGGCTGAGTGTGGCAAAGGATCACAATAATAGGAGTTTAGATAAGCTAGAAGTTTATTTTTTATTTTTAAAGTGTAAACTGATAGAATGGCTTGGCTCCGCACAGTTCTGAGGCCTAGGCTCCTTCCATGCTGTTGCTTTGCTTTCCTAGTGTTTGACTCATTGGTACAATTCAAGAACTATCACTCTCTTGCATGCACTTCTCGGAGTCTTAGTTTTCTTCCCTGTAAGGGTCAAAACTGGAAGTTACACATATCACTTTTGCTCATATGCCATTGTTGAGTACTTAGTCACTTGGCCATATCTAATTTCAAGGATGGCAGGGAAATGTAGTGTTTCTTCTTGGTTGCCCTGTGTCCAGGTGACCACAGGCCTAGATTATTTTATTCCGTAGTGATAGCAATCATATTAGGTAGGTGCCATTATGATCGCTGTATTGTAAATAAGACATCTTAGACAAGAAAAAATTTTGATAATTTTCACAAAGTGAGGGAATTCTTTAAATGTTTCGCAAATATATGACTTTTGTTCTTCCTTTGCACATCTAAAGGAATGTCAGTGTTTCTCAAAAATTTAGTGGTAAAAGACCAGGGTTTTTTTTTTGTTGTTGTTCTTTGTGTTTTACTTAAACCATTTTATACATATTTCAAAAATTTATAATTTTTTTTGTGGTTACATAGTAGATGTATGTATTTATGGGGTACATCAGATATTATGATACAGGCATGCAATACATAGTAATCACATCATGGAAAATGGGATCTCCATTCCTTCATGCATTTATCCTTTGTGTTACAAACAATCCAATTATACTCTTTTTTTGTTCTTTTAAAATATACAATTAAATAATTATTGACTATAGTCACTCTTTGTGCTATCAAATACTAGGTCTTATTCATTTTAACTATTTTTCACCCTTTAGCCATCCCCACCTTCCCCCACCAGTCCCCCACTACTCTTCCCAGCCTCTGGTAACCATCCTTCTACTCTTTATGTCCATGAGTTCAATTGTTTTGATTTTTAGATCCCACAAATAAGTGAGAACGTGTTTGTCTTTCTGTGCCTGGCTTATTTCACTTAACATAGTGATATCCAGTTGCATCCATGTTGACACAAATGACAGGATCTGATTCCTTTTTAATGGCTGAATAGTACTCCATTGTGTATAAGCATCACATTTTCTTTTTCCATTCATATGTTGATGGACACTTAGGTTGCTTCCAAATTTTGGTTACTGTGAACAGTGCTAAAACAAACATGGGTGTGCAGATACCTCTTTGATATACTGATTTTCTTTCTTTTGGATATATACCCAGCAGTGGGATTGCTGGAGCATATGGTAGCTCTATTTTTAGTTTTTTGAGGAACCTCCAAACTGTTCTTCATAATGGTTGTACTAATTTACATTCTCACCAACAGTGTATGAGGGTTCCCTTTTCTCCACATCCTTGCCAGTATTTTTTATTGCTTGTCTTTTGGATAAAAGCCATTTTAACTGGGGTGAGATGATATCTCATTGGAGTTTTGATTTGTACTTCTCTGAAGATCAATGATGTTGAGAACCTTTTCATAGGCCTCTTTGTAACTTGTATGTCTTCTTTTGAGAAATGTCTATTCAAATCTTATGCCCATTTTTAAATCAAATTTTTAGATTTTTTCCTGTTGAGATGTTTGAGCTCCTTACATATTCTGGTTATTGATCCCTTGTCAGAGGGGTAGTTTGCACATATTTTCTTCCATTCTGTGGATTGTGTCTTCACTTTGTTGATGGTTTTTTGGACTGTGCAGAGGCTTTTGAATTTGATGTGATCCCATTTACTCATTTCCGATTTGGTTGCCTGTGCTTGTAGGATATTTCTCAAAAAATGTTTGGCCAGACCAATGTCCTGGAGAGTTTTCCAATGTTTTCTTGTAGTAGTTTCATAACTTGAGGTCTTGGATTTATGTCTTTAAATCATTTTAATTTGATTTTTGTATATTGTGAGAGATATCAGTGTAATTTTGTTCTTCTCCTTATGGATATCCAGTTTTCCCAGCATTTATTAAAAAGGCTGTCTTATTCCCAATGTATGTTCTTGGCACCTTTGTCAAAAATGAGTTAACTGTAGGTGTGTGGATTCGTTTCTGGGTTCTCTATTCTGTTCCATTTGTCCATTTGTCTGTTTTTATGCCAATACCATGCTGTTTGGGGTTACTATATCTCTGTAGTATAATTTGAGGTCAGGTAATGTGATTCCTTCAGTCATGTTCTTTTTGCTTTGGCCATTCTGGGTCTTTTGTGATTCCATATTAGTCTTAGGATTGTTTTTTCTATTTCTCTTGTGAAGAATGTTATTGGTATTTTCATAGAAATTGCATTGGATCTGTAGATTGCTTTGGGTAGTATGGATATTTTAACAGTATTGATTCTTCTGATCCATAAATATAGAATATCTTTCCAATTTTTGGTGAACTCTTCAACTTCTTTCATCAGCCTTTCACGGTTTTCATTGTAGAGATCCTTCACTTTTTTGCTTAACTTAATTCCTAGGTATTTAATTTTATTTGTGGCTACTGTAAATTGAATTACTTTTTTATTTCCTTTTTACATTGTTCACTGTTGGCATATAGAAATTTTACTAATTTTTGTATATTGATTTTGTATCCTGCAACTTTGCTGAATTTTTTATCAGTTCCAATGGTTTTTTTGCGGGATTTTTAGATTTTTTCCAAATGTAAGATTATATCTGCAAACAGGGATCATTTAACTTCTTCCTTTACAACTTAGATGTTCTTATTTCCTTCTCTTGTCTGATTGCTTTAGTTAGAACTTCCAGTAATATGTTGACTAACAGTTGTCAAAAGTGAGCATTCTTTTCATATTCCAGTTCTTGAAGGAAAGACTTTCAATTTTTCCTCATTCAGTGTGATAATAGCTGTGGGTCTTTCATATATGACTTTTATTATGTTGAGGTATGTTTCTCCTATACCCAGTTTTTTATTTTTGAGGGCTTTTATCATGAAGGATGTTGAATTTTATCAACTGCTTTCAGCATCAATTGAAATGATCATATGGTTTTTGTCCTTCATTCTGTTGATATGATGTATCACATTGATTGAATTGCATATGTTCAATCATCCTTATGTCCCTGGGGTAAGTCCCACTTGGTCATGATAAATGATTTTTCTAATGTTTTGATGAATTTGGTTTCTAGTATTTTGTTGAGGATTTTTGCATTACTATTCATCAGAAATTTTGGCTTGTAGTTTTCTTTTTTTTTGCTGTATCTTTATCTGGTTTTGGTACCAAGGTAAGAGTGGCCTCATAGAATTAGTTTGGAAGCATTCTTTCCTGCTTTGTTTTTCAGAACAGTTTGAGTGGGATTGGTATTCTTTAAATGTTTGGCAGAGTTCAGCAGTGAAGCCATCAGGTCTTGGGCTTTTCATTACTAGAAGACTTTTTATTATGACTTCAATCTCGTTACTGGTCTGTTCAGGTTTTGGATTTCTTCATGGTTCAATCTTGATAGGTTGTATGTCTCTAGGAATTTATCCATTTCCTGGAGATTTTCCAATTTATTGGCATATAGTTGCCATAGTAGCCACTAATGATACTTTGAATTTCTGCAGTATCAGTTGTAATGTCTTCTTTTTCATCTCTGATTTTATTTATGTGGGTCTTTTCCATTGTTTTTCTTAGTCTGACTAATAGTTTGTCAATCTTGATCTTTCTTTTTTTTTTTTTTTTTTGTTTTTGGAGATGGAGTCTTTCTCTGTTGCCCAGGCTGGAGTGCGATGGCATGGTCTCAGCTCACTGCAATCTCTGCCTCCCTGGTTCAAGCGATTCTCCTGCTTCAGCCTCCCGAGTAGTTGGGATTACAGGTGCCCACTGGCACGCCTGGCTAATTTTTGTATTTTTAGTAGAGATGGGGTTTCACCATGTTGGCCAGGCTGGTCTTGAACTCCTGACCTCAGGTGATCCACCTGCCTCGGCCTCCCAAAGTGCTGGGATTTAGAGGCATGAGCCACCGTGCCCGGCCAATTTTGATCTTTTCAAAACACCAACTTTTTGTTTCATTGATCTTTTATATTGTGTTATTCATTTCAAATACGTTTATTTCTGCTCTAATTTTTATTATTTCTTTTCTTTTACAAATTGTGAGTTCAGCTTGCTTTTGTTATTTTTAATTCTTTAAGATGCATTTTTAGGTTATCTATTTGAATGTTTTCTTCTTTTTTGATGTGGGCACTAATAGCTATAAATTTCCCTTTTACTACTTCTTTCACTGTATCCCATAGGTTTTGGTTTTTGATACTTCTGTTACCATTTATTTCAATAACTTTTTCAATTTTCTTAATTTCTTCCTTGATCCACTAGTCATTCTGGAGCATATTGTTTAATTTCCATGTATTTGCATGGTTTGCAAAATTCCTCATTATTGATTTCTAGTTTTATTCCATTATGGTCAGAGAAGATGTTTGACATTACTTCAGTTTTTTTGAATGTTTTAAGACTTATTTTGTGACCTAACATACAGTCTGTCCTTGAGCATGATCGATATGCTGAGGAGAAGAATGTGACTTCTGTAGTGGTTGCATGACACATTCTATTAATATCTGTTAGAACCATTTGTTCTATACTGCAGATTAAGTCTACTGTTTCTTCGTTGATTTTCTGTCTAGAAGATCTGTCCAATGCTGAAAGTGGAGTGTTGGAGTCTCCAGCTGTTATTGTATCGAGGTCTATCTCTCTCTTTAGTGCTAATAATATTTGCTTTATATATCTGTGTGCCCCATTGTTGGGTGCATATATATTTAAAATTATTATATCCTCCTGCTTAATTGACCCCTTTATTATTATATAATGACCTTCTTTGTCTCACAGTTGTCTTGAAATCTATTTTGTCTGATATAAGTATAGCTATTTTTGTCCTTTTTGGATTGCATTGTCATGGAATATCTTTTTTCATTTCTTTAATTTTTAACCTGTGTGTATCTTTAGAGGTAAAGTGTATTTCTTGTAGACAACGGATCATTGGATCTTGTTTCTTCATTCAGCCATTCTACAGCTTTTGATTGGAGAGTTTAGCCCATTTACCTTCAATGTTATTATTGATAAGTAGGGAGTTACCTTGCCTTGCCATTTTGTTATTTGTTTTCTTTTTTTTTTTTTTTTTTTTGTGGTCTTCTCTTTCTTCTTTCCCTGTCTTACTTTTAGTGAAGGTGATTTTCTCTGGTTGTATGATATAATTTCTTTAATTTTTTGCTTGTCTATTGCATCGTTTTTGATTTGAGGTTACCATTAGGCTTGCAAATACTGTCCTGTAACCTATGATTTTAAACTGATGACCACTTAACACTGATCACATAAACACACAAAAGAAAAACTAATAAAATGCTACACTTTAACTTTTTTCCCTACTTTTTAACTTTTTGTTGTTTCTGTTTCTGTCTTATTGCACTACGTCTTGAAAAATTGTTGTAGTTATTTTTTTTTATTGGTTCATCATCTAGTCTTTCTACTTAAGAGTGGTTTACATACCATAATTACAGTGTGATAATAATCTGTGTTTTTCTGTATGTTTACTATTACCAATGAGTTTTGTACGTTCAGATGATTTCTTCTTGTTGATTAACATCCTTTTATTACAGAATGAAGAACTTTCTTTAGCATTTCTTGTAGGATAGGTCTTGTATTGATGAAATCCCTCAGCTTTTGTTTGTCTGGGAAGGTCTTTATTTCTCCTTCATTATTAAAGGTTATTTTCTCTGGATATACTATATACAGTAAAAGTTATTTTCCTGCAACAGTTTAAATATGTCACGCCACTCTTTCCTGGTCTTAAGGTTTCCACTGAAAAGTCTCCTGTCACATGTATTGGCACTCCATTTTACGTTATTTGTTTCTTTTCTCTCACTGCTTTTAGGATCTTTTCTTTATGCTTAACCTTTGGGACTTTCATTATTAAATGTCTTGAGGTAGTCTTCTTTGGGTTAAATCTGCCTGGTGTTCTATAACCTTCTTCTACTTTGATATTGATATCTTTCCCTAGGTTTGGGAAGTTCTCCATTATTACCCCTTTTAATAAACTTTCTACCCCATATCTTTCTCTACCTCCTTGTTGTATCAAATAACTCTTAGATTTGGTTATTTGAGGCTATTTTCTAGATCATGCAGGTGTGACTTTTTGTTTTTTTTGTTATTTAAGTTCTAGGCTACATGTGCACAATGTGCAGGTTTGTTACATATGTATACATGTGCCATATTGATGTGTTTTTAATTCTTTTTTTCTTTTTTGTCTCCTCTGACTGTACTTTCAAATAGCTGGTCTTCATGCTCATTAGTTCTTCTGCTTTATCAATTCTGCTATTAAGAGTCTCTGATGTATTCTTCAGCATGTCAGTTCCATTTTTCAACTCTAGCATTCCTTCTTAATTCTTTTTAATTGTTTCAATCTCTTTGTTAATTTTATCTGATACAATTCTGAATTCCTTCTCTGTGTGATTTTGAATTTCTTTGAGTTTTTTCAAATAGCTATTTTGAGTTCTCTGTCTGAAAGGTCACATATCTCTGTTTCTCCAGGATTGGTCCCTGGTGCCTTCTTTAGCTCATTTGGTGAAGCCATGTTTTCCTGGATGTTCTTGATGCTTATAGATGTTCTTTGGTGTCTGAACATTGAAGATATTTATTATAGTGTTTGCAGTCTGGGCTTATTTTCATCTGTCCTTCTTGGTATGGCTTTCCAGGTATTTGAAGAGACTTGGGCCCTAAGCCCAATAATACTGTGGTTTTTGTAGACTCATAGAAGTATCACCTTGGTGGTCTTGGATAAGATTCAGAAGAATTCTCTGGATTACCAGGCAGAGACTATTATTCTTTTCCTTTAATTCCTCCCATACATTTGGAATTTCTCTGGCTAAGCCATCTGGAACTAGGGGTGTGGTCATGCAAGCACCATATGGCCACCACCATTTGGACTGTGTTTGGTCAGACCTGAAGCCAGCACAGCACTGGCTGTCACGCAAGGCCTACTGTAACCACTGCCTGGCTACCACCTATGTTCAATCAGTACCCTAGGGTGGATCCACATGCACCCTCCCTTCCCAGGCGCTGGCTGAGCCCAGCATGATTTTGCTCTTTGATGTGACTAAGGTCCTATGATCAGCAGGTAGCAAAGCCAGCCAGGTTTATGTCCTTCCTTTCAGGACAGTGAGTTCTCCTATGGCCCAGGAAGGTCCATAGATACTATCTGGGAGCTAGAGATTAGAGTCAAAAACCTTAGAAATTTAGCTTATGTTCTATTCTACTGTGGCTAACCTGGTACTCATACCACAATACAAAGATTTTCCTGCTGTTCCTTTACCTTTCAATAGGCAGAGAGCCTCTCCCTGTGGCCACTATCACCACAGCCCACAGGGGGTTCTGCCAGGCCACTGCTGATGTTCACTTAAAGTCCAAGGGCTCTTCAGTCAGCCTGTAGTGATTGCTTCCAGACCTGGAACTCGTCCTTCAGGGCACTGGGCTCCCCTCTGGCCTGGGCTCATCCAGAAATTGTTCCAAGAGCCTAGGTCTGGACTTGGGGACTCCAAAAGCCTGCTTGTTGCTCTACCTCACTATGGCCAAGCTGGTACATAAGGTGTAAGACAAAGTCCCTTTTACTTCACTATAGCCACCACAGCTGGGAATGTACTGCATGGCATCTAAAGCCAGCACATCTCAGAGCCCAAGGCCCATAGTATATTACCTTGGTATTGCCACCGGTTATTCAGAGCCCAAGGGCTCCTTAGTCAGCAGGTGATGAATCTCACCAGGACTGGGTCCTTCCCTTCAAGGCAGTGGGTTCCCTTCTGTCCCATAGTGTTTCTAGAAATGTCATCTGTAAGCTGGGGCCTGGATTGGAGGCCTCATGACTCTGCCCAGTGCCCTATCCTCCTATGGCTGAGCTGGTACCCAAGATGCAAGACAAAGTCATCTTTATTCTTCATTCTCCTCTCATTAAGCAGAAGGAAGGAGTCACTTTTGTAGCTTCCAGCTGCACTGCCTGGGGTTGAAGGAGAGGTGGCACAAGCACTCCCTTGGCCACCCTGGCTGGAGTCTTCCTAGGTCATGTGCTACCCTAGTCCACTGGTTCTAAGCCCAGCCCAGCACTAGGAGTTGCCTAGGAATTATAATTCTATATAGTACTATATAGTATTTGTGTCCTAGACTGCCTTTTGAGCTTACCTATGACCCCAGAATGCTTTGGCCCATGTTGGCAAGGCTTACCAAGAAACTCAAGTTCATATGCCTGGGAAGGGCAACTTTCTTCTGGCTAGGGTGTGTTCGAATGTTCCCTCCTTGTTCAGGCCCTGGCTGAGCCCAGCATGGTTTTGCTGTCTGCGTGAAACAGCAGCACTGAGTTCAATGTAAGTCCCCCATTCAGTGCGCTCTCCCTTCCCCAAGAGCACAGACTCTCTCTGTGCTACAGGGCTGCTGCTGGGAGGTGGGAGAGGGGTGGCGTCTGCGATTCAAGCCTGTCTCTCCTACCTTCTTAAATGCCTCTTTCCACGACGTGAAGTAAAACCAGGTATTGTGATAGCTCACTTATTTTTGGGTCCTGTGATGGTGCTTTTCTGTGTGCAGATAGTTGTTAAAATTTGGTCTTCCTGTGGGGGATGGGGGAACGAATGGTATAGGCTTCTATTTTGCCATCTTGTGCTGCCCTCCTAGACTGATATTTTTGTAAATTTCTGTAGATATAGCAATTGCTGTAAAAGTTTCTAAACCACCTACTTTTGTTTATGTACATATCTTGTTGTAGACCAGGGAAACTAGTTTGTGTACTGGCACCACTTCTTAGATCCTATTCTATCCTATTTGTATAGCTGGGAATTAAGCTGTATAGTTTTAACAATCAGCTTTATTAGAAAAAAATTATACTGCCTCTTATGCCTGACATGCTTATTTGATCCAATCTTTTTTGCTTCAAAAACTGTAATTGCACAGCTGCAATTATAACTAATATACATGTGTATGTATGTGTGTGTGTGTGTGTTAAAGGGTAATTATTTTCATAATTTTCAGTTTTACCTGTCAAAAATTTTAATTTTACTACTTACATAGAAAGCTTAGACTTCATTGTATTTGCATTTTCTATCAGTTAGCTTTTTATAAAATACTAATTATCCTCAGGGACTGCTTTATGTACATTTCCAAGTATACTCAAACCTTCTTGTAGTCATGAGAGCTGTGAGATCCCTTAATTTCCAAAAATAATTTGATTATACTTACACTAAAAGACACATGTCAATATGTTTATCAAATACACATAGGAAAAATTCAATAAATTTTTTGCAGGATGGGTAGCAGATATAGCTATCATCTAGGATAGTTAACGCCATCTCATGTCATATGTAAATTCTCCATTGGTTGTGGATACCTGCTCAACTGGTTGCGGATACCTGGAATATCATGTTGAGAAAGATCTTGAGTCCAAGTAGGTTCAGCTAGGAAAGCTTGTCATGTGTGATTAATGATGTCTAGAAGAGGAGCAGGTGAGGAGGCATGAATTCTATGTATTTTCCTCTATTAAGTATTATGCTTGTTCTGAGCTTCCAGCAGCAAAGGAAAAGCATTAAACATGGTGGATTATGTTCATTATCTAATGAAAATAAACATTCACATTTGTAAGAAAGATAGATGTTTTCCTTGTTCTAAATTCTAAAATGAATTTGTTTTTCTAGATGGAAGGAACATTGTAAAATATGATGAGTTGGTATTTTTCATTGATTCAGTAGGTATATAACAATGGTTTTCAGTAGATATACAAACTGTGATATACCACTTTAAAAAATATCAATCCTTGATAATCTAAGACCATATCAGAAGGAAGAAACAAGGATTATTTTTATGAGAATTTTCAAAAATATTACATTGTACTTGTAAATAGTGACAAAGAAAGCTAGAATATATTTACAGAAATTCAACTAATCAATCTGTCAGACCCTCTTTTTCTCTATACAAACTTATAGGTTTATAGGTTCTTTTATTTTTTTTCAAATCCTTTCGTTTTTCTTCTCTGACCAAAAAGATGATGTACATTATACTGAAGAGAAAGACACTCAGCAATGAAGTATGGATTTGGATATAACAGGGAGATTAAACGGTCCTGAAAGGTGATATATGCCAACTTCCAAATTATAACTAGTGTTCTAACAGTGGTGTTGACAACCTGTGACTATGGCAGAAGCAGCATGGAGATGATTTTTAATAATTCATGAAGGCAGAAGATATAATTGTGTAGCCAGGGTGCTCTGCTGCTTTCTTCTCTAGGCACCTTTCCCACTTCCCACCACCTCTTCTTTTTCTTCAGATACTCATGCGCTTTATTTTGTCCCTTGTCAACATTTTCTACCCCTCTCTCTATTTCTGCCCTTCTCAGAAGTATACAGTTTTCGAGTTTAGTAGGAGCAGATTTGATGATGATCTCTAATCTTGTTATTTTTTCAGTTGGCAAAACTGAGTTTAAGCTGTTAACTGTTTAAGGTATTACCTCTCACTAGTGAAACCTTAGTAATGTTTCAAGCTCAAAATAATCCCTTTTTATTTGATTTTTGTTAGGTTTTGAAGGGAAGGTGAGTGTTAAAGACACACACACACACACACACACCAACACACAGAAAGAGGGCGGCTTAACAGCAAATGCAGGCTTTATGCTCAGCATAAAACCTACAGAAGTGGAGCACCAGCCTAATGCCAGAGCCCACAGTTGGTTACAGGCTGGGGGTACTTATTGGTATGGGCTGCCCGGCAGGATATTGATAAGATGTTCCCATGATGAGGCGGTTCTGGCCCTTGTTCCAGGGGGATGCCATCCTGGTGCTCCAAGCCTTTGTCCAGCAAGATATGATAGGGATGTTTCTTTAGTTCGGCCTTTGTCCACCTTGTGGTCAGGTGGTTAGGCAGGATCTTTCTCATGACTCGAACCCCTGTGAAATATTTCACTTTGACCAAGGTATAAAAAATAGCAGGGAGCTTACAAAATGGTGCAGTTTGGTCTAACAGTTTTATCTATCAAAATTTAAAACTATCAGTATTATTCATACAATAAATAACACTATTATAAATAACTCTTAGTAGGTAAATGCATTTTAATTACTGTTGGTGGGAGTGTAAATTAGTTCAACCATTATGGAAGGATCTAGAACTAGAAATACTGTTTGACCCAGCAATCCCATTATTGGGTATATACCCAAAGGATTATAAATCATGCTACTATAAAGACACATGCACATGTATGTTTATTGTGGCACTATTCACAATAACAAAGACTTGGAACCAACCCAAATGTCCATCAATGATACACTGGATTAAGAAAATGTGGCACATATACACCATGGAATAGTATGCAGCCATAAAAAAAGGATGAGTTCATGTCCTTTGCAGGGACATGGATGAAGCTAGGAACCATTCTCAGCAAGCTATCACAAGGACAGAAAACCAAACACCACATGTTCTCACTCATAGGTGGGAATTGAACAATGCTTGGATGCAGGGCTGGGAACATCACACACTGGGGCCTGTTGAGAGGGGGTAGTTGGGGGAGGGATAGCATTAGGAGAATGTAAATGACAAGTTGATGGGTGCAGCAAACCAACATGGCACATGTATACCTATGTAACAAACCTGCACGTTGTGCACATGTACCCTAGAACTTAAAACAAACAAAAACAAACATTAATTGTAGAGATTTCCACTTCTGGTCACAGTACAGTAGCAGAAACTAGATTTAGGGTATTATGTGAAACAACCCCTTCAAAGTAGACAGAATATATGAAACAATAGATTTTAAGACAAAAGGCATCAGGCCACGAAACTTAGTAACCTGTGAGACAGAAGGCAAATGAGGTATTGCCTATGATTGTCCCAGGTTACAGTCTTAAGAGAGTTTCTAGGCTATTGTACTGGGAGGGTGAACCCAGCCAGCACCTGTCAGACTCCCTGATTTGAGAAGACAGAGCTGAGAGTCTGGGGAAACTCAGTATTCTAGAGTTTCCACGACAGAGTACTAGAAAGGAGAGACAACTACACAGTGAGAGAATGCTGGAGATCTTCAGAGGATCCCCCTCGGGTCTCCGTACTGACCATCAAAGTCACTGGGAGAAGAATAATTTGAAAGGATTAAAAGGAATAGTGTCTGACACTCACAGGGTAAAGTGTCTGCTCCTACTAGCCAGACTGAAAAATTTATAATTAGTGAGTGATCGGGAGAATACTCAGTAGTGGGGAGGTTGGGGCTAGAAAATGATACCTCCAAATGAAGGCATCAGAAGAAGTCTCAGAAGCAAAGTTTCTCTCTGAACTCCTCTTGTTCTCCTGTCTCTCATTCTCCCTTGAGGCTAGCCAAACAAACCAGAATCCCTCTTCTCCAAGGCAAGTCAGAGACACCAGAGCCCCTTTTCCCAAAGCTATTCATAAAACCTCAAAATAAACGTTACTGTAACTTTCCCTCCACCTTTCTGTGTAAAAGCTGGTCATAAAGAAATTATCTGGCCTACCATGTTTGATTGTAAGCCATAGGATCCCCATTTCAGAATGGGTCCTTCCCCATACCCAGAAGGAAGAAATGCTTCAGAGAGAGTCCCCAAGAGGAATCTAAATAGATAGGCCTTGCTGGGATTTCCCCTCCATCTATAAACATTGGCTCATATCCTTTGTGTCCAATTATATTTCTACACAGCTGTTCATACTTGGCTGAACCTATGCAGAAAAATGAACAGCTTCTCCTGTGTCTTGGGCCTTCATTCTGAAGGCTTTTCTGTCGCATAAAATTATGGTTAAATAAATTTGTAAGCATTTTATCCTATTAATTTGTGTCTTGTCAGTTGATTTTCAGCAAACCTTCAGAGGGTGAAAGGGAAGTTTTCCATTGCCCCAACAGGAATAAATAGCCCTAGTAGTGCTTTGAACCTATCTAATAAGTTATAAAAGAAAACCAGAAGGGACCAAACTGTAACCAAGTAACTGAACTTTTCAGATGACTCAGAATAACTACAGAGGTAAACCCTACTGGGCCATAAAACAAATCTCAATAAATTTAAAATGATCCAAATTCATACAAATATATTCTCAGACCACAATGGAAATAATGTAAAATTAGTAACAGAAAGATATTTGAAAAAATTCCTTAAATATTTGAAAACCAATTATAACACACTTCTAAATAACCCATGGGTCAAATAAGGAATCAAAAATGGAAAATAAAAAGTAGTTTGAACTAAATACAAATGGATATACAACATAATCAGACTTTGTGAGATGCTGCTAAAGCAGTACTTTGGGGGAAATTTTTAGCACTAAATGCTTATATTGGAAATGAATAAAGATCTCTAATTAGTGACCTCAGCTTCCACTCTAAGCAACCAGAAGATAAGTACAAATTAAAACTAAGCAGAAAAAAGGAAATACTAAATATCAGAGAAAAAATCAGTAAAACAGCAAACAGGAAAATAGATAAGATCAATGAAACAAAAAACTGGGTCTTTGAGAAGATTAATGAAATTGATCAATCTCTAGCCAGACTGATAAGAAAACAAGAGAGTGAAGATGTAAATTGCCACAATCAAAATGAGAAAGGTGACATTACTGTAGATTCTACACCTACTAAAAAGACAAGAAAATATTGTGGGGTGGGTGTGGTGGCTCATGCCTGTAATCCCAGCACTTTGGGAGGCCGAGGCGGGAGGATTACCTGAGGTCAAGAGTTCAAGACCAGCCTGACCAACATGGTGAAACCCCCGTCTCTACTAATACATTAAAAAAAAAAAAAAAAAAGCCGGGCATGATGGCACACACCTGTAATTCCAGCTACTCGGGAGGTTGAGGCAAGAGAATTGCTTGAACCTGGGAGGCAGAGGTTGCAGTGAGTTGAAATTGTGCCATTGCGTTCCAGCCTGAGCAACAAGAGTGAAACTCTGTCTCAAAAAAAAAAAAAAAAATACTGTGAATAATTTTATGCCAAGAAATTCAACAACTTAGATGTAATGAGCATATTCATTGAAAGACACAAATTACCAAAGCTCATTCAATAAGAAATCAATAACCTGAATAGCAGTGTACTTATATATAAACAAATTGCATTTGTAGTTCAAAATGTCCAACAAAGAAAACTCCAGACCTATAAGGCTTCGCTGGTAAATTCTACTAAACATTTAAGGAGGAAATAATATCAATTCTATAAAAACTCTTTTGTAAAATTTAAGAAAATACTTCCCAAATCATGTGACCAGCATTGTCATGGTACCAAAACTAGATAAAAAAATTCCAAGAGGAAAAACTAACTGTAGCCCAATATCCTTCATTAATATTAATGTAAAATCTCTAAATAAATATTTTAGAAAATCAAACAATGTGTACAAAGGATAATGCGTAATGACCAAATGAGGTTTATCCCAGGAATGTAGTGTAATATGGTTATGAACTAACTAATTAACAAATTTTAAAAAAAACATAAAAAAGAATGAGATCATGTCCTTTGCGGGGACATGGATGGGGCTGGAGGCCATTATCCTTAGCAAACTGACACAGGAACGGAAAACAAAATAAATGTTCCTGTTCCTACTTACAAGTGGAAGCTAAATGATGTGAACACATGGACACATAGAGGGGAAAAACACACTCTGGGGCCTATAAGAGGGTGGAGGGGGCGAGGAGGGAGAGGATCAGGAAAAACAACTAATGAGTACAAGGCTTAATACCTGGGTGGTGAAGTAATCTGTACAACCCTTATGACACATGTTTACCTATGTAATAAACCTGTACATTTTGCACATGTACCCATGAACTTAAAAGTTAAATAAAAGAAAGAAAACATTTGATCATCTCAATAGGTACATAAAAAGCATTTGACAAATTTAGTATTCTTTTAAAATTGTATTTATTTTTAAAATTATTTTTCCATAAGTTATTGGGGTACAGGTGGTATTTGGTTACATGAGTAAGTTCTTTAGTGGTGATTTGTGAGATTTTGGTGCACCCATCACCCAAGAGGTATACACTGCACTATATTTGTAGTCTTTGATCCCTCACTCCCCTCCCACTCTTCCCCCCAAGTCCCCAAAGTCCATTGTATCATTCTTAGCCTTTGCATCCTTATAGTTTATCTCTCACATATCATTAAGAACATATGATATTAGGTTTTCCATTCTTGAGTTGCTTCACTTAGAATAATAGTCTCCAATCTCATCCAGGTCGCTGCTAATGCTGTCAATTCATTCATTTTTATGGCTGAGTAGTAGTCCATCATATATGTATGTATATATATATATATATATATATATATATACACACACACACACCCCACACAGTTTCTTTATCCACTAGTATTCCTTTTGACAGAAAGTCTGAGCTAAGTAGGAATAGAAGAGAAGCTCCTCAACTTGTTACAGGGCATCTACAAAAAAACCCTTATAGCTGATATCATAATTAATGGTGAAAATAGTGAATTTTTCCTAGTATAATGAGGAACAAGAGAAGAATGTATACTCTCACTACTTCTATTAAACATTATACAGAGGTTCTGGCAAGTAAAATTAGGCAAAAAAAAGAAATTAAAGTTGTTTTGATTGGAAAAGAAGTAAAACTGTCTTTATTTGCAGATGGCTGATTGTCAAAAATCTGATAAAATCTGTAAAAAAGATACTGGGACTAATAAATTTAGCATGTTGGCAAGACATAAGACAAATATTAAAAATTAAATATATTTTTATATACTAGCAACAAATAATATTTAAACTCACAAAGCAATATCACAATAGAGAGAAAAGGTATGGAATAGTTTGGGATAAATCTGATAAAATATTTGAAAGAATTGTATGCTGAAAATTGCAAAACACTACTGACAGAAATAAAGCCCTAAGTCCACGGGGAATATATGTCAGGATCATGGGTTAGAAGATACAATATTGTTAAAAGCCATTTCTCCCCAAATTGTAGATTTAATACAGTCCTACCCAAAAACTCAGCATCTAATTTTTTGGTAGAAATTGATTAACTTATTCTAAAAATCATGTGGAAATGTAAAGGACCCAGAATAGTCAAAACAACTTTGCAGTAGGAGACACGTTAGAGCACTAACATTACCTGATATCAAAGCTTACAAATCTACAACAATCAAGAAAGTACGGTGTTGGCATAACAATAGATAAATATATCAATGGAACAGAAGAAGAGAGCCCAGAAATAGACTTACTCATGCACACATAGACTGCTGAATTTCTACAAAGCTGCAAAGCCAATTCAGTGGGTAGTTCTGCTGTTGTTTTTCAACAAATGATGCTAAAATTATTGGATGTCCATAGGCAGCAAAAAGGAATGCAACAGAAAATATGTAATTTAAAACAGATCATAGATCTAAATGTAAAACAAAAACTATGAAAGTTTTTTGAAGGAGACATAAAAGAATCTTTGTGATATTGGGCTAGGCAAAGATTTCTTACATGTGATGTCAAAAGTACAATCCTTAAAGCAAATTGATAAAACTTGGCCAAAATTAAAAATTTCTGCTCTTGGAAATAGATTGTTAAGGGAATAAAAATAAGCTACAAAATGGGATAATTTTACAAAGCATACATCTGATAAAGGATATGTATTCTGGACACATGAAGAACCATCAGAATTCAAAAAGAAAACAACTCAATTTCAAAAATAGGCAAAAATTAAAAAATAATGAAATCCTGTCATTTGCAGCAACATGGATGAGCTTAGAGGACATTACTTTAAGTAAAATAAGCCAGGCACAGAAAAGCAAATATCACATGTTCTCGCTGATATGTGGGAGCTAAAAATGTGGATCATATGGAGGTAGAGAGTAGGATTGTGGTTACTAGACTTGGGAAGAGTAGTGGGAAATAGAGGATGAAAAGAGATTGGTTTTTAGGTACAACAATACAGTTAAATAGAAGGAGTAAGTTCTAGTGGTGTTCAATAGCACAGTAGGAGGACTACTTAAAAATAACTTATTGTATATTTCCAAATAGTGAGAAGAGAAGATTTGGAATGTTCCCAACATGAAGAGATGGTAAATGTTTGAGGTGATATCCCAATTACTCCAATTTGATCATTACACGTTGTATATAGGTATCAAAATGTCATATGTAACCCATAAATATATACAATCATTATGTGTCAATAAAAAAATAGGCATATCACGAAAGAAGATATTTGATGGCAAATAAGCGTGTGAAAAGGTGCTCAACATTTTAAGGCTTTGAAGAAATGCAATTTAAAACACTAAGGAAATATAGCTACACGTCTACTGGAATGTCTACAATTTGAAAAGCTGATCATATTGGCAAGAATATAGAGAGACTAGAACTTTCATACTCTGCTTGTGGAAATGTAAAACGGTAAAACCACTTTGCAAACAGTTTGGCAGTTTCTTAAGAATTGAAGCACATGCTTATGTTGCTCTGCCATTTCTCTCCTGGGTAAACACCCAGGAGAAATGGAAGCATACATTTGTACAAAGATTTGTACATGAATGTTCATAGCAGCTTTATTTGTAATAGCCGTAATTGGAAAAAAAAACACTAATGTTCATGAACAAGTGAATTGATAAACAATCTGTGATATCTCCATACAATGAAATACTACTCAGCAATAAAAAAGGAATATACTATGTATACACACAACATGGATGAGTCTCAAAACAATTATCTCAAAAAGCCAGACAGAAAGAACATAGTGAATAATTCCATTTTTGTAGAATTATAGGAAATGTAAATAAATATTTAGTCACAGAAAATAGGTCAGTTTTTGTTTGGTGGTGCTTATGGGGTGGCAAGGTGTGGAGGCTGGGAAGGGCTGGAGGGCAAAATTATGAAGGGTATCTAGGAGACTATTTGGAATAATGAATATATTCATTATGTTGATTTTGGTGGCTGTTTCATGGGCATGTACATACGTCAAAACTTATCAAATTATACACTACAAATATCTGTGGTTTCCTGTATATCAGTTTCACCTCAATAAAGCTGTTAAAAACGCTAATTGTTTTCTGCTGCCCTTTGCCAGCTCTTAGGAATTATCTCCCAACCATACAATTTTAGCTACAAGTAAAATGCATAAAGATGCATAATCAACGTTGCTTAGTACTCAGCAACTGTACACTCCATTGACCCCTTTTTCTTGTTTGCAAGTGGCTCTGTAAGATCATAGAATTCCACAAAGCAGTTTTTAAATGCTAGCACAGATGAGATTTTAAGTCAACAACAACCTTGCTGGGTGATCCATCATCTGACCTATGCTTGAACAGGAAACTTACCCCCTTCACAGGAGTGTATTATAACTTTGGACAGCTCTCACTCTTAGAAAATTGGGGCTACTGATAGGATTTTACTTATATTTTTACTGGTTGGGATGAAAATATATGTTGTTGGAAGAAGTTTTTAATATTCAAAAGCCCAAATCTTGGAGTGGACAAACTTCCTTAAGAGCAGTAGCACTGTCTACTGCAGTGATTTCTCAGCTGAGTCCTTCTTTAGCTACTAGGGCAGAGAAAGGGCAGTATCAGGTGTCAGTGGCCCAGTGGGTATGGCAATGGGTACCTGATCTTCACTCATGTTTTGTTCAACATAGGAGTATTTTTATGTTTTACTGTTCTGATTTTATATGTTTCTCTTGACAACATTTTTTTTTCTTTTTAAATCACTGGAGTGGTGGAAAGAATTTTCTTTGAGCAGAGAGGCATGGATTTACGTATTTCTCACCCATTTTTTAGATATTTTATACATTAGTAATGTTAGTAAGACAGAGTGAGTGAAATACTCAGGTATTAGAATGGAGAGTTGCTATCTCAACATCATTGTTTTCGTATTGGTTTGCTGGGTATTTTGTTGGTATAACAAAATACCGTAAGCTGGCTGGCTTAAACAACAGGAATTTATTGTGTCACAGTTCTGGAGACTGCAACTACAAGATGGAGGTGTTGGCAGCTTTGATTTTTGCTGAGGCCCCTCCCTTTAATTTGCAGATGGCCATCCTCTCATTGTATCCTCATGTGGTCCTCCCTGATCTGTGTGTTGTCTATGTCCTGATCTCTTTTTTTCTTTTAGAACAATCAGATTAGAGCTCACCCTTATAATCTCCTTTAGCCTTAATTATCTCTCTAAAGGCTCTGTCTGCTAATAGTAATTCCAAATACTTAGTCTAAAATACTGAAGATTAAAACTTCAATATATAAATTGGAGGGGGACAAAATTCAGCCCATAACAGCTTCCATTTTTATAAAATGAGGACTTACCTTTCAAGATTCTTTTCAGCAATGATAAGATAATCTATGTAAAGCACTAGTAAATTATCAGGCACATATTAGGGATGCAGTAGATGATAATTATTCTAATTGTGAAGTAAATATGAATCTATGCTTATACAGATAAAATTTATTTTAGATCATTGATGCCCTAACTATAAATGCCATTTTTTTTCTCTGTAATTTTAAACGTGCTGAGCTGTAATAGGAACCTATAAAGACATCAGAGAAAAAGCAATCCAAGTTACAACACGTATCTATTTTTAACAAGCTTAAATTTGGATGTGAATGGCAAGACTTGACTTTTATTTACACAGCTCATCACTTAGATGAAGAACATTATCCCTCAGTGCTCTAGAGCTGTTAAAGAGAAACCCAATGAGGAGCACAGGTTATGTAGAAATTACATAATGGCAGTGGTGACCATTTGCACTGCCTCCAATTCTCCTCATGTTTTACCTCAATTCCAGAGGAGAAATGAGAATATGCCCAACTGTGTTTTAAACTATGGTCATAGGAAATTCCCTTGAGAGAAATTTGAGAAGCCTGAAATTCAAACACACTAGTGAAATGCAAATAGTTTTATTTATTAATGGCCGCTAATGGTCTGTAATAATCACAGCTGATTAAGTAAATAAGCAAATCAATTATTAGAAGTGTTTGCAGAATTGAATTCACAAGTTTTCTAATTGTTTTTTCTTTTTATGCATTTAGCCATATCTGATCTTGAATTGAGTTAAGGAACCAAGCTTCAAAAGAATACAATTTGAAGGAGCAGAGGAGTATCCTGTAATTATAAAACATCATGATACTCTTTAAAATTCTATATGTTACTCATAATTTCTAAGTTCAATGATCTGTGCTGTTATATTAATTAACTTTCAAAATTCTAATAGCTGAGCAGATCACTTGATTTCACTTGCCTACACTACTTTTTGTTAATTAATGGAAACCATAAATTCAGAGCCCTTGCAAATTGTGCTGCTTCATTGCATTTAGTGCTGTTTTAATTTCTACTCTTAATTAAATAATGAGGCTCCAGAGCACATTCCTAACTGTGAGGCAAACTAGACTGTGTTTCTAGCTGGGATTCCTTCTAGCCAGCCCAGTCAATCAATGCATGTCTTCTGTAATACATAGGAGTTTATTACTCAACCTTGGAGGCTCATGTGGCTCATGTGGTGGGAGACATGCTGTAGGAAAACCCGTCTTTGTTTTGATCAAGTTGCCAGGATTGCATTTTCATCTCCCCTTTCTTGCTCCTACCTGGACTGGAAGGGGTGAATTATTTTATTTTGTTGTGATTGATGCAAGCCTCACTTGTATAGAAATGGAGCAATCAGGATACAGTGTGCTCTTTTCCTTCCTTGAAGGTGACTCTCTTTGTTATTCATTCTGAAGTAAACAAATATGGATTGGGCGTCTACAGAGTACCTAGGGGCTACAGCAGTGAACAAGAAGATTCCTTTGAGAAAGCAGATAAATCTCCATTCACACCAGTTTCTGAGCCCTGAAGTATTTCAATAGCGAGTACCTGCACTGTATTTTGAGACTCTTCTAACACAAAGGAATTTTAAAAACACACCATTTGTAAGAAGTTGTCATAGTAAAAAGGTGTGATAGAAGAATAATAATTTAAGCTGAAGTTCTTATAATGGATAAGCCAGGCTTGGGTTTTACTTAGGCTAATGGTATTAATCTGCTTCTCTCCTTATTCATAAATACATTTCCTGTCTGGATTTATCATATTTCACTTTTTACTTGCAGAATCTTTTTTTTTAATTGGGTTGTTTAGCATCGAATGAAATAGAGCATATTTTTTTCATGCCATAAGTTATTCAGCTTTACCATTAGGTTTAGAACATCAGTTACAACTTATTTTTAAGGGTGACCAAATCATTTATCACACATATGCTTTACTATAAAAGAGAAGCACATTTTCCATCATTGACAAAGTAACTCAAGGACCAGAGTAAGCCAGAATATCAGGAGATACCAAATGACTATACTCGGAAGCAAGAAATACTTAATTTGACTGACCTAGATAATTCTTAATTATTCATGAATCATGTTTCCAATGGATGGGTTATCCAATCCCTTTTCTCCTTCCTCTTGATCCTGCCCTTAGCCATTTAATTTCTTTCTGGCAAAGAAAGTGAAATATTCAATTTTATGACTTGGCCCACTTTAAGAAAATATATTGGTTAATCATGATTCAGAATTATATATAATAAAATATTGATGAAAAGGGATTCTAAATTATATGCAATAAATGTTATTACAATATTTCATTCACTCTGACAGTGCTACTGAAAATGTGGTTCATAGATGCTTAGAACACCTATCAAAAGAATTTGAGAGGAAGTGTTTAGAAGGATTGACAGCAATTTGCCTTTCTCAGAAATCCACATACATGATCAGTAAACTCTTATTGAACAGGATAGAACTACCCAAGAATCAGGGTAAACATACAATCAGACATTAGTCTTTTACTACAGATAGCTTAATTGCTGATATAAGATGCCCTTGATTTTTAAATGTGTCATCAATTTTTAGATACATCTCAACATTAGAGATGTTAAAATGTGGAAAAATACTTATTTTAGAATTGTTGATATTAATTTATTATTTTATTTACCATGAGAGAGTTCCTTTTTGCAGAGGGAGTAAGGATATTCTGAGAGTGATTATTTTTTTTGTGGTAATTGCAAAAGTTATATGATATAGTAGAAAGTGAGTTGGCTCTGACTTCAGGCAGACTGCCATTTACTGGGTTTATGAGTTTGAACAAGGCTCACATTCCTTTATGGTGAAGAGGAATGAAAATATATCTCAGGGTTGTTTAGACTTTCTTATCTCAATTTGACTAATGGAATAGAATATTTGGAACATGTTTCATTTAATTTACAAAAACCAAATATGTGCAGATAAAAACACATATATACACATACACAGATAATTTTTGATGCCTTAATAGAATATAATAGTTTCAAAATTTACCTTATTATGTAGCTATGACATTTTAAATATTTATCATAGGAAAATTAGACTGTAATCATGTGAATAGTATAAATCAAAAGTTTTAGAGGTCAAGAATTACCTCCTATGCTTTTATTATCTGACTCCCATGGTGAATAATAGCTCATTGAACAGATATTGGAAATATATTAAATTTGAGTATTCTGTCAAATTAGTTTTTAAATTATCTGTTTAACCAATATATTTGATATACATCTTCTACAGAAATATTTCACAACTCAATATTTTAAATTATTTGCAATCATCATATAGTCGAGTTATTACTAATTTTTTAGTGAATTTGTATTATATTTAAAACTTTAAAATACTAATGATCAGCTAATGAAGATTATTTTTGGAGCATAAAATATTTTCTTTAAGAAAATAAAATTCTAACAAATAGTACTAGATAATCATGACCACCATGTTCAGTTAGCTTTTATTTTGAATAGTCATTTTGTCAACAGAATTATATGCTAACATTTGAGTTCATTAAGTGAGCTAGACCTTTATTTTATATTTTACTTATCTTATGCTTGATATCTATTAATGTTTTGATATCTTGAAGTGCAATAGTAGAATATTAGCACTTTTTTCATCTAGGTTGTTAAGAAATTCAAACTTATATTTGGACATAAGCTAAATTGGTAAATTAACAGAAAATAAATTTATTATGTTTCCTTTATATTTGTTCAAATAGTTATATTAATTGACATATACGTTAGTGGCATATTATGGTGTACAGAGTATTTTACACATGTTTTAAATGCTGTTACTATTATAAAAATGTATTTTAGAACAATAAAATAAAGAAAATTATGATTTTTTAAACTCAGCAATTATTTTACTGTCCAATGATTGCTACTGTTAACATTATGAGGTGTTTTCTGTCAGGATTTAAAAAATATATTTTAACTTAATCAGAAGTATTGTATCTTTTTAAAATATTATGTCATAACATATTCAATTTAATGACAGTCTCTTAATAAACATAATTCGTAATATGAATGTTAATAACATTTAGAAGACCATTCACTTCTTATTGAATATATTTAGGTTGGTTCCAATTTTTCCATACTATAACTAGTGTACTGATTACATCTGTACATATGCTTTACGTGGTGTCTTTTGATCACCACAACAACTCTGTGTGGTAGGCAAGTACTGGTTTATACATTTTTCTTTTCCGTCACAGAACTGAGAGGCTAAGATTCCAACCCAATGTCACAAAATCAGGAAGTTCAGGTGCCAACTGAGAAATCCAGATATTTGATATTGTATTAATTGTTCTTTCTTTTAAAGTGCTCCCATCATTAAAAGGGTTTAAGACAGAGTTTGTGCCCATAGAATATGACAGGTGTAGCTGTTGCATCTGCATATTGGCGGTGGCAATGTCATGGAGTATGTAGCTTTTTTGATGAGATCTCAGAGTTGGTGGAGCATGTGACATATTTGGGAATAAGATTGAATACAACATAAATTTAATCGATGTATGGGATAGAATATTTGAGAAAATAATGATGTTCTTCTGCAGCCAGCTAAAATGAAAGGGATTCTATGTAATCCAACTAGATCAGCTGAAATCAATTTTGGTAATTTAGAGGTAAACAGGTATTTGAGTAATGCTGACCTCAAATCTGATTAACCAAAAACATGCTTAGAGAATGTAGGACTAAATTATTTACATGTACAGATTAAATAATCAGTAACCCACAAATGCATTTCAAATTAAACTGCAAAGATGTAACTTAAGACATATAGTTTTTAGAAAAACAAAACATATTTTACCCTTTAGTTAGGTTAACATTGTTATTTTTTCTTATATCCAGTAAAAGATGTGACAGTTTCTCACTGAGCCATTTCTCGTAGTAGTATGGACTTAATCCTATCTTCTTTTTAAGGGGCTGCTCTTTAATTGAATCATGGGAGTCTTTGTGTTTCACATGAGCAAAGTTGGCGCACATCACAGCCAGTGGACAAGTAGATAGGGCCATAAAGAGCTCACGCTTAGCCCTGAGCAAAATGATAACTGGCTCATCGAGACCTTCCCCTTCCCAAAATGCTGAGGGCAGCTGAGAAGACAGCCATAGAGAGGAATGATTTGCAGTATTTATAAGTGGGAAGTGCCGATGCGTTTCTGGTTCCTACTCTGACTTCCAAACGGCGAGCTACCCCAGAATAATTCAAGTATACATCTTCTTCTGTCCATCCTGGCTTAGTCCCTGTTACTGGGAGAGCTGTCTTTGCTTTTTTTGCCTTTTAAAATAAGAATTCTGACTTGATTTTTTAATACCCAGAACTCTCCAAAATAATCATGCTGTTCTTCAAAGATTTTTCAAGACAGATTTCATGCTTGTTGCCTGGGCCCACAGATGCAGTGATTTGAAGTGATATACATTTTTCATTCTCTCATGAGGTACTAATACAATACATTTAAATTTTTCTGAGCCTCAATTTCCTCTCTGCAACTTGGAAGAATAAAACCTATCTGGAAGGTTTGTTTTGAGACATACATGTGATAATATGAATAAAGTATAGTGAATACTTAATAAATGGTTGATATTATTATTTACATAGAGGAGGTGGTCAAAATCACAACAGAAAGAAAATAGGTTTTGGTATCAGGTACATTTATTTTGGATTTTATCTTTGCCTCTTATTAGCTTTGTGACCTTGGACAAATCCTTTTTTTTTTTTTTTTTTGACAGAGTCTTGCTCTGTCACCAGGCTGGAGCGCAGTGGCGTTATCTCGGCTCGCTGCAACCTCCGCCTCCCGGGTTCAAGAGATTCCTCTGCCTCAGCCTCCTGAGTAGTTGGTACTACAGGAGCTTGTCACCAAGCCTGGCTAAATTTTTTGTATTTTAGTAGAGATGGGGTTTCACCATGTTGGCTAGGATGATCTCGATCTCTTGATGTCGTGATCCACCTGCTTCGGGCTCCCAAAGTGCTGGGATTACAGGCGAGCCACTGCGTGGCTCTGCGCCCAGCAATACTTAACAGTTACTACGCTCAAATTCTTTATTATTATCTGAAATTTCTCTTGAGTTATTTAGATAGAAGAGAAACTGGGAAGATGTATTTTGGGGGATGTTTACAGCGTCAGAAGAACTTTTCTGGAATTATTTAAGAGCAAATTGAGAATAATTCTATAGTGGTCATTAATTTTTGGGGAGCACATGGTTGAATTTGGTTGTTGATACTTTGTGATGAAGATAATGTATCATGAATGGTTGACATTCACTGTTGTAATAATAATTTAAGCTCATATAATGAATCAGTTCAAATCACTGAGCATATTTACAAACGCGTATACATAATTAACATTTAATTCCCCTGAATATCTTATTTCATTATCCACACAGTTTAGGAAAATATATTAAATAGACACTGGCAACCAGCAAGCTTATGCTCTATCAAACCATAAGAGACCATAAGACCTTTGAGTTTCTTCTGTTAGTGACCAGATGAGTTTGAGTTAACTTTTGAAG